>NC_000001.11:207427011-207578526 GCF_000001405.40 Homo sapiens | reverse complement strand
ACATAGCTGATCATAGAGAAAGTCCATATAATTTTTCAATATACTTGAGAGAGATTGCAGCTGGTACTTTGCCCTGAGAATCAAATAATAGGTGAGTCCAAAATAGCTTTTTTCTTGGCTAATTAAGGTCTTGCTTTCCAAATGAAGACACATATGCATGGGTGCATGCACACCCCCAATTCTTAATTTCATGCTTCTTCCCCCAAAACTTACTTTCCCACCCTCCTCACCATACATACCTCCCCCTTAACAAATACTCATCTCCTGATCCAACAGCAACACATGTCACTGGCAGGGCCCTTCTAGGCATCAGTCAGACTCACCCCTGGAGCAGCTTGGTAACTCTGGCTCCCATTTGTTCAGGGCCTGGCACTTCACACGGCGGGGTCCTTTCATGACAAAGCCAGGCTGACACCTAAACTCCACAACTTCATTTAAGGAAAATAAGCTTCTGTTGTCAGATACCAATATTCCATTTTCCACATTTGGAGGCGTGCATTTGTTAGGTATAATGCACTGAGGGGCGGGGCCGCTCCAGATGCCCACTTGATCGTCATTGCTGGTGCAGTATATGGAGGGCTCACCCACAAGCTCAAACACCTTTCTCCCTCTGCTTCCAAGATTGCAGCGGTAGGTCACCACTGATCCATAGTGAAAATTCTCTCTGTTGGTGCTAATGAAATCTCCATTGGCGATGGTTGGGGGTAGCCCACAAGGAATTCCTGGAAAAGAGACAGCAAGTTAACCAAAACAAAACCTTGGGACAGAGTCTTGCTGTCACCCAGGCTGGAGTGCAGTGGCACAATCATGGCTAACTGCAACCTCTACTTCCCAGGTCAAGCAATCCTCCCACCTCAACCTCCCGAGTAGCTGGGATCACAGGCATGCACCACCATGTCTGGTTTATTTTTGTATTTTTAGTAGAGATGGGGTTTGGCCATGTTGGGCAGGCTAGTCTTGAACTCCTGGCCTCAAACAATCCGCCTGCCTCGGCCTTTCAAAGTGCTGGGATTATAAGCGTGAGCCACCGTGCCCAGCCTGGTTTCTAATAATTATACTTTATTGTAAATTTTGCTAACAGTTTTGTTTTTTAATTTCAAATTACCAGAAGTAAATATTGACAATATTATTCTCATCTAATATTTGCTAATGTACAGACATGTTCTTATAGTTTTAAAATGTTATGAGTGCTGCTCTACTCAGTTAACCTTATTTCACTAAATGTATCCATGTATTATTAGAGTCCATGTGTTTTTTTTTTGTTTGTTTGTTTGTTTTAACAGATCCTCACTCTGTTCCCCACACTGGAGTGCAGTGGCGTGATCTCAGCTCACTGCAACCCCCGCCTCCCAGGTTCAAGCGATTTTCCTGCCTCAGCCTCCTGAGTAGCTGGGATTACAGGCATGCGCCACCAAACTCGGCTAACTTTTGTATTTTTAGTAGAGATGGGGTTTCACCATGTTGGCCAGGCTGGTCTCGAACTCCTGACCTCAAGTGATCTGCCCACCTCAGCCTCCTAATGTGCTGGGAGTACAGGCATGAGCCACTGTGCCTAGCCTATAGTCTATGTTTTTATTTCTCCTGCTAAACGAGAATTTAACTATGTTATCTCACCATTATTAATCTAGTTCTCTCTATATAGAAGGCATTTGCCTTTATGGTATTGGATATTAATATAATAAAGCATACAGCATAGCATTTTTTTTTGAGACAAGGTCTGGCTCTGCTGCCCGGGCTGGAGTGCAGTGGCACGATCATGGCTCATTGCAGCCTCGACCTCTCTGGCTCAAGCAATCCTCCCACCTCTCAGTCTCCCGAGTAGTTGGGACTACAGGCATGTGCCACCGTGCCTGTTTAGTTTTTGTATTTTTTGTAGAGACATGATTTCACCATGTTGTACAGGCTGGTCTCAAACTCCTGGGCTAAAGCCATCTGCTCACCTAGGCCTCCCAAAGTGCTGGGATTACAAGTTTGAGTCACCACACGTGGCTCAGTATAACATCTTTATTAAATAATAAGAACAAAAGCTCTGGAAGAACTAATAAAGACAAAGCACAAATATACAATATTACATATAATAAACATGATACTTACAGATTCAGAAGTAATAAAAAGAACTGGATACTGATTTACAGCCATACCACCCTGAATGCGCCCAATCTCGTCTGATCTTGGAAGAACTGAATACTGTGTCCTACTCTACTGTAGGGCAGTGCCCAGCCAGTTTATTGGCCTTCTACAAAGTTTGTTCCCACTTATCCTGCCACCAACTGGGTTTGAAATTGCTGATTTCCTCACACCATCACTAAACCCAGGATTATACACATTTTATATTCCCTGTTAGCTTGCAATTGCTCATTCGTCTTTGCTCCCCAAAATGTAGAAAGCTCATCTTCCAAACAACTCACAGGGAAGATGGCATGATCCTGTTTAGACAAAGAATAAGAAGGAAGAAAGAGCTGCATGGCTTGAATATCTGATGTGATACTAAGAGCTTGCAGAGAGGATATGGGGTTTCTTTCACTGACTTTGTATTTGTTGACTTCACTAAACAAAATGCTCTTCAAACTGCGAGGTGCTCAACCAACAGAAGAGGACATTGGGGGCTGGTTAAATGAGCTAAAGACTAGTTTAAAATACATTAGACTGAGATAAGAAAAAAAAAAGCATTTCTAGGTGAAGGCGGAAGTTTGGAATGCTGTGAGCCATTTTAAGGATATGACTAGATTCTTCAAATATCAGAAGGATACCATTTCCAAGAGGGATGAGATCCATTC
Source organism: Homo sapiens (assembly GCF_000001405.40). NCBI lineage: Eukaryota > Metazoa > Chordata > Mammalia > Primates > Hominidae > Homo > Homo sapiens. The sequence goes on along the minus strand of NC_000001.11, from coordinate 207,575,749 downwards.
TTTGTAATTCTAGGAGGACAACTCTAGGATTCAATGGTGGGGTGAATGGGGAAAGAGATTTCAACTCACGTTGACAAATTGGCGGCTTCGTGCTCCAATGGGCAGTATTGCCTGAGAGGATACATTCAGCAGATGAGTGACCAATGAGTCGGTGCCTAAAGGCAAAAAATGGAAAATCATTGTCCTGTACATACCTCATCAACTTCCTGACAGCATGCATATGTGGCAAACCAGAAGGATTACAATGCAGGAGAAGTCTAAGGCCTAGCCTAAACTTTACCTATTGTTTCCAGCTCTTCTATTTCTTTTTCTTATTCTTTCATTATTGAAAGAGATATTTCTGCTCTAACTTCTCCTGGCCCACATTGCTTCTTAATATCTTGGCTTCACTGTGGACTGCAACTGGCACGAAAATAAAACAATTATTTTGTAGACCAGTTTGACAATTTTTTTCTTAAATTCTATCTTTCTCTAAATATTATTTTTGCCTTTTTTTGTTTGCATTTTCACTTAATTTGTGTGTGTGTGTGTGTGTGTGTGTGTGTGTATAATACTATGTCATTTTACTTGAGACATGTTTTTTATAAATACAAGATTTGTTGCTTTTGATCTTGTCTAAGAGACTTTGTTTTTCAACAAGAGGATTAAACCAAATGTATTGAGATAAATGATACATTTGATTTGCTTTCATCATCATTCTTTCACTGCCTTTTTCATTGATTTCATGATGCCCAATGATGAGGATGTGGAGAAAGCAATGAATAAAATGACCTGACCCAAAAATGAGGGGGCTTATTTCTGGTGGAAGAGACAAATGCATTCCTTGTCTTTCCTTTTCTTTCCCTCTCACTTGCTATATGGAAGAGATAGATTCAGCTGTTTTAGTTATTCTAATAATTTGGAAATTAAACTTATTATTTTTTCTAATGAGGAATTTCATTTTATATATGTGCATGTATATTACACACATGGATATGCACACAACAGATATTTAAACCTATTTTCTCAATTTTAGAGTCAAACTCTATATAGTCAGTCTACTCATCTTTTCTGTAATGTAAGTTTAGCCTACCTTTTCTTGCTGTCTCACATTTTCTAGTTTTATTGATATGTTCTATGAGTTTAGAGAGATTATTAGTAAATTATGATTACATTGCCGAGTTTTTGTGTGTATTTTTTTATTGTTGTTTTTTCTTTTTACCAATATCCTATCTCATTGAGATTTCCTTTGGAATTCATCATTCTCCTTTTTAAAAATTTGCTTATGAATTACCTGGGAAACATACTTAAATGGTACAATTTTTGTGTCTTTCTTATCCTTTAATGTGTATCTGGAGCCTCTAGGTGTGAATATTAGCTTGGCTCAAGAGAAATGCTATCTTCTACAATTTAGTGTTGTATAGAATCAATGTGGTGTCAATAAACTTATTTCTTTTGCGGGTATTATATTTTCACATTTTATTTCTGGAATCAGAGTTTTTTTCTCTATCCCTGAAACACAGAAGTTTCCCTAGTGATGGCTAGGTATGGGCTTATTTGCTTACCCTTCTGGAATTTTTGCTACATGTATTTTGAATCCTGACACTGTGTTACATATGTCTTCTCTTTTTCCTTTTTTGAGACAGGGTCTCATTCTGTCATCCAGGCTGGAGTGCAGGTTGCCATCAAGGCTCACTGAAGCCTCAGCCTCCTGGGCTCAGGTGATCCTCCCACTTTAGTCTCCTGCCTAGCTGTGACTACAGGCATATGCTGCCATGCCCAGCTAATTTTTATACTTTTTTGTAGAGATGGGTTTTTGTCATGTTGTCTAGGCTGGTCTTGAGCTCCTGGGCTCAAGTGATACTCTTGCCTCAGCCTCTCAGTGTGTTGGGATTACATATGTGAGCCACTGTGCTTGCCTGTCTTCTCCTTTTCATCTTTTCTCACTGCATTCAGGGAACATTTGGTTAACTCTTCTTACTCTTTGCTTTAATTTTCTGCAATATTCATTGTGATATATATATATGATATAGATCACATGTATGAAATGAAATATATAAACACACTGAATACATATATTCATTCATGTACACACTTCATGGCTAGTTTCACAGAAGTATTTGTACAATTGAATCTTGTTACAAATATGAAAAGGAGAGTGTTCTGAAAGTTTCCCTGGTTTCTTGGCAGTAAATCTCTTTTGTAAAATTTCTCCTGATTTTTCAGACTGGTCTCTTTTACATGTATTTCCTGTTTCTTCTCATAAGCTCAATGGTTTTCTGCTTCATGCCATAGAGAGGTTCCTCACTTATTCAGCAATGCAAGATGAGTAGGGTACAGTCAGGAAATTTACCAATTGCATTTAAAAATGCTTAAAAAAAAGAGAGAAAAGGAGACATCGGATTTATTCTAATTTTTGTCAGATTCTAGGTGCTGTGGTCTGTGAGGCCTATGCTGGCAAGTGTGCTGGACACCACAAACTTCCTTTCAGTGTCTGTTGTGGTGACACAAACATAACCCGTATTCGCTACCTGGCTTAGCTGTTCCCATGAAGAATGAGATTGAGGCAGAGCCTCCACCGTGTGCTGAGCAAGGGTGAGCACCAACAGCTGGACCGTGTGCTGTGAGCACCTGATGCCTGACATTTTCAAAGGGGCTCTGTTATAGGTTGAATTGTGTCTCCCCCCAAGTATGCTGAAGTCTTAACCTCCAGTCCCTGTGGATGTGATCTTATTTGGAAATACAATCTTTGCAGACGCAATCAAGTTAAGGTGAGGTCATGAAAGTAGGCCCTAATCCAGTGTGACTGGTGTCCTTATTAAAAGGGAAAACTTTGGAAACAGACATGCACAGAGAGAACAGCATATGAGGACACAGACCCAGAGGGAAGATGGCCATATGAGGACAGAGACAGAAATTGGAGTTCTGCTGCCACATGCCAAGGAAGGCCTGTGGCTCCAGAAGCTGGAAGATGCAATGAAGGATCCTTCCCTACAGGATTCAGAGGGAGCGTGGCCCTCCCAAAACCTTGATTTTGGATTTCCAGTCTCTAGAATGGAACTCCAAAAACTTCTGTTGTATTAAGCCGCCCACTTCGTGTTACAGACATTCCTCAAATATATTGCAGGTTCAGTTCCAGACCACCACAATAAAACACATATCACAACAAATGAGTCAGATGAATTTTTTGATTTCTCAGTGAGTCTAAAAGTTGTGTTTATACTATATGGTAGTCTATTAAGTGTGAAATAGCATTATGTCTAAACAAAGTCATACTTTAAAAAAAGGTTTATTGATAAAAAATACTAAAGATTATCTGACCTTCAATAATTTGTAATCTTTTTGTTGGTGGAGGGTCTTGCCTCAAGGTTGATGGCTGCTGACTGATCAGGGTGGTGGTTGCTGAAGGCCGGGGTGGCTGTGGCAATTTCTTAAGCTGAGACAGCAATAAAATTGCTGTATTGATGGACTCTTCCTTTCACAAAAGATTTTTCTAGCATGCAATGCTGTTTGATAACATTTTACCCTCTGAACTGCTTTCAAAATTGGAGTTAATCCTCCCGATACTGCTGCTGCTTTATCACCTAAGTTTTTGTAATATTCTGTATCCTTTGTGGTCATTTTCACAATGCTCATGTCATCATCACCAGGAAGACACTCCACCTCAAAAAAACCACTTTCTCTGCTGATTCATGAGAAGCAACTCCTCATCTGTTCAAGTTTGATCATGAATTTGTCGCAATTCAGTCACGTCTTCAGGCTCCACTTCTAATTGTAGTTCTCTTGCGATTTTCACCACATCTTCAGTTATTTCCTCCGCTGAAGTCTTGAACCTCTCAAAGTCAGCCATGAGGGTTGGAATTAACTTCTACCAAACTCCTATTAATGTTGATATTTTAAGCTCTTCCCATGAATCACGAATGTTCTTAATGGTATGTAGAATGATGAATTCTTTCCAGCAGTTTTCAACTTATTTTGTTCAGATCCATCAGAGGAATTACTGTCTGTGGGGACTCACCTTACAAAATGTATTTCTTAAATAGTGAAACTTGAAAGTCAAAATTACTCCTTCAGCCATGGGCTGCAGAATGGCTGCTGTTGTTAGCAGGCAGGAAAACTCCATTCATCTCCATGTCCTTCTCCATTAGAGCTCTTGGCTGCTTAGGTGCAATGTCAATGAGCAGTAATATTTTGAAAGGAATCTGTTTTTCTGAGCACTAGATCTCAACAGTGGGCTTAAAATATTCAGTAAACTATGCCGCAAACATACCTCTGTCATCAGGCTTTGTTCTTCCATTTATAGACACAGGCAAGGTATATTTAACTTAATGCTTAAGGGCCCTAGGATTTTTAGAATGGTCGGTGAACATTGGCTTCAACTCAAAGTCACCAGCGGCATTAGCTCCTAAAAAGTCAGCCTGTTCTTTGAAGCTTTGAACCCAGGTATTGGCTTCTCCTCTCTAGCTATGAAAGTCCAATAGATGGCTGTTTTGTCTACATGGAAAATCTGTTATTTAGTGTAACACCTTCGTCAGTGATCTTAGCTAGATTTTCTAGATAACTTGCTGCAACTTCTATATGAGCACTGGCTGCTTCACCTTGGACCTTTATGTTATGGAGAGGGCTTCTTTCCTTAAACCTCAGGAACCAAATTCTGCTAGCTTCCAGCTTCTGTCAGCCTTCACAGAATTGAAGAGAGTTACGGCCTTGCTCAGGATTACGCTTTGGCTTCAGGAAATGTTTCTAGTTTGATCTTATGTCTAGACCACTAAAACTTCTTCCATATCAGCAATAAGGCTGTTTTACCTTCTTATCATACATGTGTTCACTGGAAGAGCATTTTAAATTTCCTTCAAGTATTTTTACTTTGCCTTTACAACTTTCTAGCTGTTTGGCACATGAGGAATGGCTTTTGGCCTATCTTGGTTTTCAACGTATCTTCCTCAGTAAGCTTAATCATCTCTAGCTTTTGATTTAAAGTAAGAGATGCATGACTCTTCCCTTCATGTCAACACTTAAAGGCTATTGTAGGGTTATTAATTGGAGTCATTTTAGTATTATTGTGTCTCAGGGATTAGGGAGTCCTGAAGAGAGGGAGACAGAAGGGGAATGTCTAGTCCATGGAGCAGTCAAAGCACGCACATTTATTGATTAAGTTTTCTGTCTTATATGGGTGCAGTTCGTAGGGACCCCAAACAATGACAATAGTAACATCAAAGATCACTGATGACAGATCACTATCACAGACATGATAATAATGAAAACATCTGGGATACTGTGAGAATAATCAAAATGCTACACAGAGACACGAAGTCAACACACGCTGTTGGATAAATGATGCCGACGAACATGCTTACACAGCGTTCCCACAAGCGTTCAATTTGTAAAAAGCATAACATCTGCGAAGTACAATAAAACGAGGAAGGCCTGTACTTTTTGATGGCAGCCCTAGCAAGGGATCATGCTGTTATCATTAAGATTCATTCTCTCACACAGCTGCTACATGGTCTTCCCTTTCTTCCAGCAATGTCTACTCTGGGTTAGGGTTGTTTGTGTGCTTTGACTACTACACTTCTAAGTTTTTTTCTTTCCCATCCAGTGAACAGCATACTCTTTATATGTGCACTGCCCTGGTTTCCAGCAAGGATACAGATTTTCCCCCTAATCTTCTCCTATCTTTGTTCATTTCAATCAGGAGTTAACACCTGTGTTCAAGCCTCTTAAGAGCAGGTGGCAATAGCCTAGTTTCCTTGCTGAGATGTGGCTAGAAAGTACTATCGCTGTGCTGGAACTCTTAAACCAAGAGATGTTGCTGCCAACTCACCCTGTAGTACAAGAATAGTTGATTCTGGATCCAACCTGGATGTCTGTGATCACATGCACCATGCCATTCACTGGATCTGGAGGAGTTTTACATGATTTACCTGTGGGAAAGAAAATGTTTTGGAGCCAGGTAGAGTAATCTGAACTCTCTTCAGTACGTAAGGTCTCAACCTGCATGTAGCTTCCTGAAGAAAACACGCGGCTCTGATGGTTCCACAGATTTTGGCACCTTGAGAAAACTCATCAGAGCGCTGAGGATCAGCCACCTACTAAGCCCCACTTTCAAAAAGACCTTCCCTCCAGATCTATCTAGATCTAGATTTAGATCTGTGTAGAGACCTTGCATCCCTTATCAAAATGTAAAGGTCATTTATGGCATTATTTACTATCAATATATTTCAAAGTTTGCAAAGGATTTCTTCCCACCTAGTTATTCAAACAGAATTTGTCTTCCTACACCATTTTTTTCCTGATCTAGTCATTTATTATTTTCTTTCCCATAGGGAATGAAGATTTTCTCTACAACTATTTCTTGAAACATTCTCATGAAGTTAACATTTCAAGCAACAATCAAGGATGCCTACAAGAAAAACTCTTACATCCATCTATCCGAACACTTTTCAGAAAAGGTTTCTCATATCCCACATTTGAAATAATTCCATAAGAAGCTTTTGCAGACATGGGAAAGATCCAACGCAAGTTTACGCACGTTTACAGACATCTTTGGGACTTGACCAGACCAGGTTATCTAGACATGTGATAGAGAATGGCCTCCCGTAGTACTCAGGACGGCATTCGTACTTTAAAGATGTCCCAATGGGAAAGTCAGATGCATTGGTTTGGGTTTTCAACTTGGCAAACAGAAAATGATCTGGGGCTTGACAGTGACCTAGAGACCAAGAAATCAAGAATATTTGAGTTAATAAAAAGATACCCAGTGTGTTTCCTCTTTTCTCTTCCTTGGTAGATTTGATGCCAGAAGAAAAGAAAATTTTAGTTATGAAAAAAAAAAAACTTCCCTGTAAAATAGAAAGGAAAGTTCCATTAGCATAGGCTTATAAGGAAGTATATTATTTGGAAGACTAGCCTGCTATCTGGTCTTTCTACTCATATAATTTATTTTTGTTTTTAAATTTTTTTTCTATTTTTAGTAGAGTTGGAGTTTCACTGTGTTTGCGGGCTGGTCTGGAACTCCTGACCTCTAGTGATCCACCAGCCTTGGCCTCCTAATGCCTATTTTTATTGTTTTTGAGATAGGGTCTCGCTCTGTCACCCAGGCTGGAGTGCAGTGGCACAATCTTGGCTCACTGCAACCTCTGCCTCCCAGGCTTAAGGGATACTCCCATCTCAGCCTCTCGAGTAGCTGGGACCACAGGCAATTGCCACCACGCTCAGCTAATGCTCATATAATTTAATGTAAAGATAGCTCCCATTTAATTTTTCACATTTTTAGGAAGCCAGAAAGAGTTTTTCTGCCCAGGTTCCACCTTTCCTGTCTGGTTTCCTTGTACTTCAAGTCATCAAAACTCCAATGAGAGGCTGTCAAGCATGGGCGGGAACTCAAGACGTTTCCTGGCAGAAGGAGCCACCGATTTTCTAGGTCAGATTTCTAAACCAAACATTTCAATAAGGAGATTCACAGGCATCTGTTTTTAATTCATATGATTCTAATGAAGGACTTTCCCACCACTCACCGCCTCCCTCTTTTTTCATCAGTCCCTCCATCTGCAAAGGTCATCAGGATCTTATGTGTTGACCTACCTTAGAACCATCTATCATTGGTTTGGCATTCCATTGTGGCAAATGCATACATACAAATAAATACTACACTGTAATTATGGAAATATGGAGGGGCTGGGTTAGATATTCTGAACCCATTAGGGATGTGGGGAAATGAGCACTAACCCAGAATTCCACAGCGAGGGGCAGGGCTGCTCCAAACCCCATTCCCTTGAGGGTCACTTGTGCAGCGGATGGTGCTCTCTCCAATGAGGTCGAAGCTCGTCCCTCTGTCTGGGTGGGGGTCGCATGTGTAATTTACTGCTTTTCCAAAGGGAAAGACTTCCAGAGGTTTTCCTGTGTGTCTCCCATTAGGAATAACTGGAGGACTTGGACAAAAGATTTCTAGAAAACATACAAAAGCTCTAAGTTTCATTCAGGAGTTTCACCAGAGGTATTCTGCAATTACAGGGTGCTATGATTGGTGTTGCTGAAAATATGCTAAGGAGATGACAGTAGACATTAGGACTTTGAAGAGTTGGATTAAATGAGATGTCAATGAAAATGTATTGCAAAGTACAAAAGAGATTTGTCTATCCTGAATCTTCCGGATAGTAACAGTTCCTGGACAGTAGAAACTTTACAACTTTAATGAAGTAGCAAAACATTTGAAGAAGAAAAATAACCATTTTGAAGGGTTATTTATTCATTTAGTCAATATATATTAATTGAGCACTTATCCTGTGTCAGCCCTTCATCAGGATCCTGGGGACACAGCGCTGAGGAAGGAGCCTACATTCTTAGGAAATATTTCTCAAATGTATATATGTGTGCTAATCATCTTAAATAGGTGAAACCTTTCACTGATTACTTATTGATATTGATCATCAATCTCAGTGATAACAATAGCCCTGTCACAGTGAATTGAAACATAGTCAGGCCATGATAAAAAAAAAAAAAAAACTCCAAATGGATTCAGATGGCTTTGCTTTTGAAAATGTCTAGGTCTGTTGATGATTTATTTTCTCTTTTTACTCTCTGGGTCAGGTTTCAAGTTGTTACTCCTTTCTAGCATCTAATGATTTGTTTAGAACAGTCTCTTCCTCATTTCTAATTGGCATTTTTCATTAGAACTGGCATTTGGAAGAAACTATTTTAACTAGCAAGAGTTATGAAAAATAAGAGAAAGCTTGAGTAGTCCAGTTAATGAGCTTTCATTCATGATAGTAGAACAGACACTTGTCATACTGCTTCAAGGAGCACTGGATTTCTTAGACAGCAAGAATCTCTATATAAGTTATGTTCTTCCAAAATTTTACTCTAAAAATCACTGTAAGATGTCCAAGTATATTTCTAACAACATAAACATTTTAGTAAAATTTCATGATTTTCTAAAGAAACACGTTTTCCAATCATTAGAATCAAGAATTGAAGCAAAGTTCTATCTTCCATTGGGGAAATTATACATGGGTAGACTAGGAGAAATCAGTAGTCTACTGATTATTGAACATATGAGGCTCATTTTAAAAAAATGACTTATTATTTATGAATCTCTCAGCATAAATTATTTAGGTACATGTTTTGAGAATTTAAGGAGTCTCAAACTGCTCACCCTGTCTAATGTTGCTCCCCATTTTTGCCTCATTCCTCAGTGCTTTGCTCTATTGTCTCATAGCATTGAATTTATTTTTTTTCTTGTCCCTCTCCCCACCTAAGTAGAAACAACATGGGGACAGGGAATTCATCCATCTTGTTCATTGATATAACTCCAGTGGCTAGATGAACATCAGGCACAAAGTATGTGATCAATAAATATTGATTAAATAAAGCCATGTTCAATATTTGTGTATTATCATATATATATAAATTGTAGACTGACTGCACTTTGATGGGAGAACAAAATGAAAAAGAAAGAAGGGAGGAAGGAAAGAAGAAAGGGGAGAAGGAGAGAAGAAGGGAAGAAAGAACTGAAGGATGGAAGGAAGAGAAAAAAGAAAGAAAAAACTAGAGAAAGAAAGAAAATTGTTAAAGCTTCACATTATCTAATCTCTCCTGACCTAGGAGCACAAGACCAAAGGATTTATCGCACTAGAACAGAGAATGCAGAAGGACAGAGACAGATCAGATGGTTGCAAAGACAGGTGATGTACATATTGATTCACAACCAAACATTATTAAAATAAACTATTTTTAAATCGATAATTAAGACTAGAATATTGAAGAATCACATTGAGGGAGGCCATAGGACAAATAGTGAACAGATGAAGGGGAGAGATTGGCCTGAAATGTTGCTCCTATTACTCACGTTCACACACTGGAACACTGCTATTCCAAAGGCTTTCCATTCCAGCCAAGACACAATAACTAGCAGAGCTGCCTTTTAATTGAAATCTAAAGAAGAAAATAGGAGTGAATAGTGAGCTGTTTCAGCCAAGAGGACACTTAGTTCACAATCTAAGGCCCAGCCCCAATTTCAGGATTTTGAGGATCTGAGGCCAGCAGATGGCAGAGTTGCACAGGCTACCTTATTCTGGAAAAATCACAGCCTCCAGAAGGGAACAATATAGAATGGCAAAATGTAGTAGCTTGGTCACATGATAGTCCTGCTTGAATTGAAAAAGGTGGTCATGACATAGGCGCCATCCCCTTGACCCAGGACCCAGGCTTGGAGTTTCACTGATTACTCCATGATAACCTGATAAATCACTCATTGTTGTTATTAGAAACCCAGTCTTCTAATGTAATGCCTTCCTAACTCTGACCCTGGAACAGCAAGTAAAACAGCTCCCAGTTTGGAGTGGAAAAGTGGGAAATAGCTGGCGAGAGAACAGAGATTGTCCTTTCATCTCCACATCTGTGATGGCGTGAAGAAGGCTCAAAAGGGCAGTTTGGGCTGCTGAAGAGTAAGCATGAATATTCTAGGGGAAAAAGGAAAGAAGAGAGGACATGATTTTTGTATGCAATTGTCGAAAATTCTCAGTCTTTTGGACCCTGATGCCCTCCTAACTCTTACTGGGTGCTGGCATTTGGAGGCTGCCAAGATTCTGTGTTACATTATGGGATCAGGTGCTTTGTTGCCCATGCCGGTCAGCTCCTGTGTAGAGATGTGCACGCTGTGAAGAGCACTAGATGGACATAAACAAGGTAATGACCTTGCTGGGAATATTAACAGCAGCCATCACGACCCCAGCTCAGAGCCCAGAGCCCATGACTAGCCAGAAGATATATGACTGAATTTTTAAAAAAATGCTGATTTTTACATTTTCAGTCCTATTACAAATTTCACTGTTGATGGTTTAAAGAATTTACTGAAATGATTCTTAAAGGATCCTAGCTTTTAATAATAAGCTTTTCATTACTTGCAATTTTTCCTGGGACTCTCTAAATTACTCATATTCCCTTTTGCTTGTAAAATATGATTTTTTTCCTGAGATGGAGTTTCACTCATTGTTCACGCTGGAGTGCAATGGTGCCATCTCGGCTCACTGCAAACTCCACCTCCCAGGTTCAAGTGATTCTGGTGCCTCAGCCTCCGGAGTAGCTGGGATTACAGGCACATGCCACCAAACCCAGCTAACTTTTGTATTTTTAGTAGAGACAGGGTTTCACCATGTTGTCCAGGCTGGTCTCCAACTCCTGACCTCAGGTGATCTGCCTGCCTCAACCTCCCAAAGGTGCTGGGATTACACACGTGAGCCACCGTGCCTGGCTGATATTTTTTGCTTAATGTGTTACCTATATATTCATAACCACTAGTTATACTTGCCTTTGAACTTGCCAGTTAATATATGTTCCAGTTTCCTCTTCATATCTCATGTTATTAGTTCTATATGTTTCTTTCCTTTCTTCCTAGGTATACTTTCGAAAGTTCATCTCTCTGAAGGTGTGTGTGTGTGTGTGTGTCTTTCTTTTAAGCCACACCAAATCTCCCCTTTTTAGACTGATTCCCAACCCCAATTTCAATGTCCAGCAGGTCAGGCAAGCTCATACTCACCCTTCATCACAAACAAAATCCACTTTTGCTCCAAGCTGGAGATTTACTGGAAATAGCACACGGCCATTAAGAAGTTGGCCCATGAAGTCATCACAGGATTTCACTGGAGATAAAGAAAAACGAACAGAAATCACTGGCATGTGGAGAATAAAGACGCAAGCTAAAAATATCAAGCCAGATAAGAGTCTAGTCACCTTCACATGTGGGGGCTGCAGGGCTCCAGTCTCCCTGGGGTGTGCAGCGCATAGACGCAGCCCCTCTGAGGTCATAGCCGGGCTCACAGCTGTAGAACACTTCCTGCCCGGGTGAAAAGTTGTCCTTGTCCCTTTGGGTACGCTCAGCATGCAGGACATCTGGAGGTGGCTGACATACTGGGGAGAGAGAAACAAAGTACAGCTAATTGTGTGAAAACAACTTTTTTCTCACTGTTAAACTGGCCAAGGGAATAATAATTACGAATCTATATATAATAATAAAGTTAGAATAACAGCCTTATTACATTGATAAACTAAATACACGGGGCAAGGAAGATGTCTTGCCATCAGTCATAGAACTGACACATGGCACAACTGTGACTAAAACAGAGGTATCTCCAATTCATTGTTTTTCATCTAAAGTATGCAACTAAGATTTCACAATGGACAGTTCCTTCTAGAATGCTTCCAATTACTGTTCACCCAGTACAAAATTGGGAGGAATGATGGATTTTTGTATCTTCATACTTCCTTTCTAGAAAGGCATCACCAATTTAGTCTTGCATTTTAAGCAATAAAGGAGTGCCCCTGCCCATGTCCCATCTAATAGGTCCCTCCATCACCTATCACACTGGTGCAACAAAGAGCGTCCATACATCTATGCTCATCTCCTTTCAAGTCTTCTCTCAGCGGCCACCTGACATAGGGTGGTAAAGAACTATGGGTCTCCTCTCTTCATGCTATGTAGCAGGTGCTGCCTAGTCATTCATTTCACTTCAGTGAGAAGGTGGGAAACTGTCGAACAAAATCTGAAAGACCTACTGTCACCATAATGAGAGTGTAATTTCACACAACATATTGTAACGGCATCTCAGGCTCTCTCTTAATGTAGTTGATCTGATCTTGGGAAATCAAAACACATTTGGATCTCAAATAAATTACATAAAACTGTTATAAAATGGAAAAAGTAATTTCAGTTTGTCTTTGAGCAGATCAGTTCCCTTTTCTGGACTTCAGCTTTCTCAAGCATCAAATGGGGGATTGGAATAGAAAAATGACTTCTTTAAGGAGTTTGTAAATACTCTGATGCTGTAATGTCCATTTTCAGGGCTCATCACCCAGTGTTTCCCTGGACTAATCAATGCCTGGTGATGTAATATTGAGGTGCTGTGCTGGTTAAATTTCTGTTGGCCCCCAGCCTCACACTTCTGCACTGTCTTTTGACAGCTAACAATGGAGGCCTTAAAAATAAATCGTTCATCTTCCTTGATAGCTAGGCTCTGGTTAGGTTCTGCCAATTGGAGGCATATATACCAAATTAAAAAGCAGGATGATGGCAGAATCTGTTCTACTTCTAGAAGTGGCTCAGGCAGTGGCAGTATAGATGGCTTCAGTGAGTAGCTACAGCTTCAATTGTAACGATGCCAATGACTTTGGCTCCAGCAATATCAGCTGCATTCTGGCAGCAATGGTGGCTCCTGCAGTATTAGCAGCTTACAGGGAGCTGCCTGCTCAGTGGGAGGGGCTGGCCATTTCACCATCACTCCAGGCTCCTGTGCTGTAGACTGGGAGCCACAGCAGCTCCCTGATCTCTCGTAACTTTGCCTTTGTCCTATTGCTTTTCCTGCCCTTCTAACATTTTTGTGACCTATTAGCTGCGATATGGTTTGGCTCTATGTCCCCTCCCAAATCTCATGTCAAATGGTAATTCCCAGTGTTGGAGAAGGAGCCTGGTGGGAGGTGACTGGATCATGGAGGTGGTTTCTAATGGTTGAGCACCATCACCCTAGTGCTGTCTTGTGATAGAGTTCTGTCAAGATCTGCTTGTTTCAAAGTCTGTAACACCTCTGCCTTGCTCTCTCTCTCTCTCCTGCCAAGCATATGAAGATATGCGTGCTTCCTCTTTGCCTTCCACCATGATTGTAACTTTCCCAGCCATGCCTCCTGTACAGCCTACAGAACTCTGAGTCAATTAAACATCTTTTCTTTATAAATTACCCAGGCTCAAGTAGTTTTTTATAGGAATGTGAGAACAGACTAATACAACCTGCATGAAATCCCTCCCTCCTTGAAAGTATCTAGAGTAAGTTTTGATTTCATGACTGAATGCTGATGAGCAAAGCCAAGGCTCTGGAGTGAGGTGGACTTGCAATCCAGTTTTGTCTGCAAGTTACTGTCTCAGAATGTTATCTGATGTGTCTAAGGCACATATTCTCTGTAAAACATAGAGGCCGGGCACAGTGGCTCATGCCTATAATCCCAGCACTTTGGGAGCCCAAGGTGGGTGGGTGCTTGAGCTGAGGAGTTTGAGACCAGCCTGGGCAGCATGGTGAGACTCTGTCCCTACAAAAAAAATATAAAAAACTTAGCCAGGCATGGTGGCATGCACCTACATTCCCAGCTACTTGGGAGGCTCAGGCAGGAGACTTGCTTGAGTCAGGGAGGTGGAGGGTGAAGTATGCCATGATGGCACCACTGCAGTCCAACCTGAGTGACAGATCAAGACAGTATCTCAAGCAAAACAAAACAGACAAACATAGAACAACTGGGAACTACCTAATAACTTTGTTTTCAGGATTAAAATTCACATGTAGCCTGTATTATAGTGCCTGGGCAGAGGAATCACTCATTTTGTATCAAACATTATTATACTCAAAGGTAATTGATAGATCTGTTTATAAGAACCCCAAAGAAACATCATATCCCTTGCCCAGGTTGAGCTTTGCTTCTCAATTTCAGCACATGTACATGTCTACACACCTGAATTTCATGTTCACTACTTAGAAAATTTGCTCCTCGACCCTGCTCAGCACACATCCCTCCCCGTGAACAAATACTAATCTCCTGATCCAACAGCAACGCATGTCACTTGCAGGGCCCTACTAGGCCTCAGTCAGACTCACCCCTGGAGCAGCTTGGTAGCTCCGGCTCCCATTTGTTCAGGGCCTGGCACTTCACACGGCGGGGTCCTTTCATGACAAAGCCAGGCTGACACCTAAACTCCACAACTTCATTTAAGGAAAATAAGCTTCTGTTGTCAGATACCAATATTCCATTTTCCACATTTGGAGGCGTGCATTTGTTAGGTATAATGCACTGAGGGGCCGGGCCGCTCCAGATGCCCACTTGATCGTCATTGCTGGTGCAGTATATGGAGGGCTCACCCACAAGCTCAAACACCTTTCTCCCTCCGCTTCCAGGATTGCAGCGGTAGGTCACCACTGATCCATAGTGAAAATTCTCTCTGTTGGTGCTAATGAAATCTCCATTGGCGATGGTGGGGGGTAGCCCACAAGGAATTCCTGGAAAAAGGGACAGCAAGTTAACCAAAACAAAACCTTGGGACAGAGTCTTGCTCTGTCACCCAGGCTGGAGTGTAGTGGCACGATCATGGCTCACTGCAACCTCCACTTCCCAGGTCAAGCAATCCTCCTACCTCAACTTCCCGAGTAGCTGGGATCACAGGCATGCACTACCATGTCTGGTTTATTTTTGTATTTTTAGTAGAGATGGGGTTTGGCCATGTTGGGCAGGCTAGTCTTGAACTCCTGGCCTCAAGCAATCTGCATGCCTCTGCTTTTCAAAGTGCTGGGATTATAAGCGTGAGCCACCACGCCTAGCCTGGTTTGTTAAAATCATACTTTATTGTAAATTTTCCCAAAAGTTTTTTTTTTAATTCCAAATTACCAGAAGTAAATATTGAAAATACTATTCTCATCTACTATTTGCTAATGTACAGACATGTTCTTACAGTTTTAAAATATTATAAGTTCTGCTCTACTCAGTTAAGTTTATTTCACTAAATGTGTCCATGTATTATTAGAGTCCACTTTTTTTTTTTTTTTTTAACAGATCCTCACTCTGTTCCCCAGGCTGGAGTGCAGTGGCGTGATCTTGGCTCACTGCAGCCCTTGCCTCCCAGGTTCAAGCGATTTTCCTGCCTCAGCCTCCTGAGTAGCTGGGATTTCAGGCATGCGCCACCAAACTCGGCTAACTTTTGTATTTTTAGTAGAGGCGGGGTTTCATTATGTTGGCCAGGGTGGTCTCAAACTACTGACCTCAAGTGATCTGCCCACCTCAGCCTCCTAATGTGCTGGGATTACAGGTATGAGCCACTGTGCCTAGCCTATAGTCTATGTTTTTATTTCTCCTGCTAAATGAGAATTTAACTGTTATCTCACCATTATTAATTTAGTTCTCTCTATATAGAAGGCATGTGTCTTTATTCTATTGGATATTAATATAATAAAGCATACAGCATAGCATTTTTTTTGAGACAAGGTCTTGCTCTGCTGCCCAGACTGGAGTGCAGTGGCACGATCATGGCTCATTGCAGCCTCGACCTCTCTGGCTCAAGCAATCCTCCCACCTCTCAGTCTCCTGAGTAGTTGGGACTACAGGCATGTGCCACCATGCCCGTATAGTTTTTGTATTTTTGTAGAGACAGCGTTTCAGTATGTTGTACAGGCTGGTCTCAAACTCCTGGACTCAAGCCATCTGCTCACCTAGGCCTCCCAAAGTGCTGGGATTACACGTTTGAGTCACCACATGTGGCTCAGTATAACATCTTTATTAAATAATAAGAACAAAAGCTCTGGAAGAACTAACAAAGACAAAGTACAAATATACAATATTACATATAATAAACATGATACTTACAGATTCAGAAATAATAAAAAGAACTGGATACTGATCTACAACCATACCACCCTAAATGCGCCCAATCTCGTCTGATCTTGGAAGAACTGAATACTGTGTCCTACTCTACCGTAGGGCAGTGCCCAGCCAGTTTATTGGCCTTCTACAAAGTTTGTTCCCACTTATCCTCCCACCAACTGGGTTTGAAATTGCTGATTTCCTCACACCATCACTAAACCCAGGATTATACACATTTTATATTCCTTGTTAGCTTGCAATTGCTCATTCGTCTTTGCTCCCCAAAATGTAGAAAGCTCATCTTCCAAACAACTCACAGGGAAGATGGCATGATCCTGTTTAGACAAAGAATAAGAAGGAAGAAAGAGCTGCATGGCTTGAATATCTGATGTGATACTAAGAGCTTGCAGAGAGGATATGGGGTTTCTTTCACTGACTTTGTATTTGTTGACTTCACTAAATAAAATGCTCTTTAAACTGGGAGGTGTTCACCCAACAGAGGATGAAATTGGGGGACTGTTTAAGTGAGCTAAAGACTAGTTTAAAAAAAATTAGACCTTGAGATAAGAAAAAATAAAAAAGCATTTCTAGCTGAAGGTGGAAGTTTGGAATGCTGTGAGCCATTTTAAGGATATGACTGGATTCTTCAAATATGAGAAGGATACCATTTCCAAGAGGGATGAGATCCATTCTTTGTAATTCTAGGAGGACAACTCTAGGATTAAACGGTGGGGTGAATGGGGAAAGAGATTTCAACTCACGTTGACAAATTGGCGGCTTCGTGCTCCAATGGGCAGCATTGCCCGAGAGGATACATTCAGCAGATGAGTGACCAATGAGTCGGTGCCTAAAGGCAAAAAATGGAAAATAAATTGTGCTGTACATACCTCATCAACTTCCTGACAGCATGCATATGTGGCAAACCAGAGGGATTACAATGCAGGAGAAGTCTAAGGCCTAGCCTAAACTTTACCTATTGTTCCCAGCTTTTCTACTTCTTTTTCCTATTCTCTCACTATTGAAAGAGATATTTCTGCTCTAATTTCTCCTGGCCCACTTTGCTTCTTAATATCTTCGCTTCATTGCGGACTGTAACTGGCACCAAAATAAAACAATTATTTTGCAGACCTGTTTGACAATTTTTTTTCTTAAATTCTATCTTTCTCTAAATATTATTTCTGCCATTTTTTGTCTGCATTTTCCCTTAATGTGTGTGTGTGTGTGTATGTGTGTGTGTGTGTATAATACTATGTCATTTTACTTGAGACATGTTTTTTATAAATACAAGATATGTTGCTTTTGATCCTGTCTAGGAGAATTTGTCTTTCAACAAGAAGATTAAACCAAACGTATTGAGGTAAATGATACATTTGATTAGCTTTCATCATCATTCTTTCACTGCCTTTTCATTGATTTCATGATGCCTAATGATGAGGATGTGGAGAAAGCAATGAATAAAGTGACCTGACCCAAACATGAGGGAGCTTATTTCTGGTGGAAGAGAAAAATGGATTCCTTGCTATTCCTTTTCCTTCCCCCTCAATTACTATATGGAACAGATAGATTCAACTGTTTTAGTCATTCTAATAATTTGGAAATTAAACTTAATATTTTTTCCAGTGAGGAATTTCATTTTATATGTGTGCATGTATATTATACATATACACGTGACACATATTTAAACCTCTTTTCTCAATTTTAGAGTCAAACTCTATATAGTCAGTCTACTCATCTTTTCTGTAATGTAAGTCTAGCCTATCTTTTCTTGCTGTCTCACATTTTCTAGTTTTATTGATATATTCTATGAGTTTAGAGAGATTATTAATAAATTATTATTACATTGCCAAGATTTTGTGTGTATGTTTTTTTTATTGTTGTTTTTTCTTTTTACCTACATCCTATCTCATTGAGATTTCCTTTGGAATTCATCATTCTCCTTTTTAAAAATTTGCTTATGAATTGCCTGGGAAACATACTTAAATGGTACAATTTTTGTGTCTTTGCTTATCCTTTAATGTGTACCTGGAGCCTCTAGGTGTGCATATTAGCTTGGCTCAAGAGAAGTGCTATCTTCTACAATTTAGTGTTATACAATATATCTTATACAATATAGAATCAATGTGGTGTCAATAAATTTATTTCTTTTGCGGGTATTATATTTTCACATTTTATTTCTGGAATCAGAGTTTTTTTCTCTATCCCTGAAACACAGAAGTTTCCCTAGTGATGGCTAGGTATGGGCTTATTTGCTTACCCTTCTGGAATTTTTGCTACATGTATTTTGAATCCTGACACTGTGTTACATATGTCTTCTCTTTTTCCTTTTTTGAGACAGGGTCTCATTCTGTCATCCAGGCTGGAGTGCAGGGTTGCCATCAAGGCTCACTGAAGCCTCAGCCTCCTGGGCTCAGGTGATCCTCCCACTTCATTCTCCTGCCTAGCTGTGACTACAGTCACATGCTGCCATGCCCAGCTAATTTTTATACTTTTTTGTAGAGATGGGTTTTTGCCATGTTGTCCAGGCTGGTCTTGAGCTCCTGGGCTCAAGTGATCCTCTTGCCCCGGCCTCTCAATATGTTGGGATTACATGTGTGAGCCACTGTGCTTGCCTGTCTTCTCCTTTTCATCTTTTCCCACTGCATTCAGGGAACATTTGGTTAACTCTTCTTACTCTTTGCTTTAATTTTCTGCAATATTCATTGTGATATATATATATATATATATATATATATATATGATATAGATCACATGTATGAAATGAAATATATAAACACACTGAATACATATATTCATTCATGTACACACTTCATGGCTAGTTTCACAGAAGTATTTGTACAATTGAATCTTGTTACAAATATGAAAAGGAGAGTGTTCTGAAAGTTTCCCTGGTTTCTTGGCAGTAAATCTCTTTTGTAAAATTTCTCCTGATTTTTCAGACTGGTCTCTTTTACATGTATTTCCTGTTTCTTCTCATAAGCTCAATGGTTTTCTGCTTCATGCCATAGAGAGGTTCCTCACTTATTCAGCAATGCAAGATGAGTAGGGTACAGTCAGGAAATTTACCAATTGTATTTAAAAATGCTTAAAAAAAGAGAGAAAAGGAGACATCGGATTTATTCTAATTTTTGTCAGATTCTAGGTGTTGTGGTCTGTGAGGCCTATGCTGGCAAATGTGCTGGACACCACAAACTTCCTTTCAGTGTCTGCTGTGGTGACACAAACGTAACTCGTATTCGCTACCTGGCTTAGCTGTTCCCATGAAGAATGAGATTGAGGCAGAGCCTCCACCGTGTGCTGAGCAAGGGTGAGCACCAACAGCTGGACCGTGTGCTGTGAGCACCTGATGCCTGACATTTTCAAAGGGGCTCTGTTATAGGTTGAATTGTGTCTCCCCTGAGTATGCTGAAGTCTTAACCTCCAGTCCCTGTGGATGTGACCTTATTTGGAAATACGATCTTTGCAGACGCAATCAAGTTAAGGTGAGGTCATGAAGGTAGGCCCTAATCCAGTGTGACTGGTGTCCTTATTAAAAGGGAAAACTTTGGAAACAGACATGCACAGAGAGAACAGCATATGAGGACACAGACCCAGAGGGAAGATGGCCATATGAGGACAGAGACAGAAATTGGAGTTCTGCTGCCACATGCCAAGGAAGGCCTGTGGCTCCAGAAGCTGGAAGATGCAATGAAGGATCCTTCCCTACAGGATTCAGAGGGAGCGTGGCCCTCCCAAAACCTTGATTTTGGATTTCCAGTCTCTAGAATGGAACTCCAAAAACTTCTGTTGTATTAAGCCGCCCACTTCGTGTTACAGACATTCCTCAAATATATTGCAGGTTCAGTTCCAGACCACCACAATAAAACACATATCACAACAAATGAGTCAGATGAATTTTTTGATTTCTCAGTGAGTCTAAAAGTTGTGTTTATACTATACGGTAGTCTATTAAGTGTGAAATAGCATTATGTCTAAACAAAGTCATACTTTAAAAAAAGGTTTATTGATAAGAAAATACTAAAGATTATCTGACCTTCAATAATTTGTAATCTTTTTGTTGGTGGAGGGTCTTGCCTCAAGGTTGATGGCTGCTGACTGATCAGGGTGGTGGTTGCTGAAGGCTGGGGTGGCTGTGGCAATTTCTTAAGCTGAGACAGCAATAAAATTGCTGTATTGATGGACTCTTCCTTTCACAAAAGATTTTTCTAGCATGCAATGCTGTTTGATAACATTTTACCCTCTGAACTGCTTTCAAAATTGGAGTTAATCCTCCCGATACTGCTGCTGCTTTATCACCTAAGTTTTTGTAATATTCTGTATCCTTTGTGGTCATTTTCACAATGCTCATGTCATCATCACCAGGAAGACACTCCACCTCAAAAAAACCACTTTCTCTGCTGATTCATGAGAAGCAACTCCTCATCTGTTCAAGTTTGATCATGAATTTGTCGCAATTCAGTCACGTCTTCAGGCTCCACTTCTAATTGTAGTTCTCTTGCGATTTTCACCACATCTTCAGTTATTTCCTCCGCTGAAGTCTTGAACCTCTCAAAGTCAGCCATGAGGGTTGGAATTAACTTCTACCAAACTCCTATTAATGTTGATATTTTAAGCTCTTCCCATGAATCACGAATGTTCTTAATGGTATGTAGAATGATGAATTCTTTCCAGCAGTTTTCAACTTATTTTGTTCAGATCCATCAGAGGAATTACTGTCTGTGGGGACTCACCTTACAAAATGTATTTCTTAAATAGTGAAACTTGAAAGTCAAAATTACTCCTTCAGCCATGGGCTGCAGAATGGCTGCCGTTGTTAGCAGGCAGGAAAACTCCATTCATCTCCATGTCCATCTCCATTAGAGCTCTTGGCTGCTTAGGTGCAATGTCAATGAGCAGTAATATTTTGAAAGGAATCTGTTTTTCTGAGCACTAGATCTCAACAGTGGGCTTAAAATATTCAGTAAACTATGCCGCAAACATACCTCTGTCATCAGGCTTTGTTCTTCCATTTATAGACACAGGCAAGGTATATTTAACTTAATGCTTAAGGGCCCTAGGATTTTTAGAATGGTCGGTGAACATTGGCTTCAACTCAAAGTCACCAGCGGCATTAGCTCCTAAAAAGTCAGCCTGTTCTTTGAAGCTTTGAACCCAGGTATTGGCTTCTCCTCTCTAGCTATGAAAGTCCAATAGATGGCTGTTTTGTCTACATGGAAAATCTGTTATTTAGTGTAACACCTTCGTCAGTGATCTTAGCTAGATTTTCTAGATAACTTGCTGCAACTTCTATATGAGCACTGGCTGCTTCACCTTGGACCTTTATGTTATGGAGAGGGCTTCTTTCCTTAAACCTCAGGAACCAAATTCTGCTAGCTTCCAGCTTCTGTCAGCCTTCACAGAATTGAAGAGAGTTACGGCCTTGCTCAGGATTACGCTTTGGCTTCAGGAAATGTTTCTAGTTTGATCTTATATCTAGACCACTAAAACTTCTTCCATATCAGCAATAAGGCTGTTTTACCTTCTTATCATACATGTGTTCACTGGAAGAGCATTTTAAATTTCCTTCAAGTATTTTTACTTTGCCTTTACAACTTTCTAGCTGTTTGGCACATGAGGAATGGCTTTTGGCCTATCTTGGTTTTCAACGTATCTTCCTCAGTAAGCTTAATCATCTCTAGCTTTTGATTTAAAGTAAGAGATGCATGACTCTTCCCTTCATGTCAACACTTAAAGGCTATTGTAGGGTTATTAATTGGAGTCATTTTAGTATTATTGTGTCTCAGGGATTAGGGAGTCCTGAAGAGAGGGAGACAGAAGGGGAATGTCTAGTCCATGGAGCAGTCAAAGCACGCACATTTATTGATTAAGTTTTCTGTCTTATATGGGTGCAGTTCGTAGGGACCCCAAACAATGACAATAGTAACATCAAAGATCACTGATGACAGATCACTATCACAGACATGATAATAATGAAAACATCTGGGATACTGTGAGAATAATCAAAATGCTACACAGAGACACGAAGTCAACACACGCTGTTGGATAAATGATGCCGACGAACATGCTTACACAGCGTTCCCACAAGCGTTCAATTTGTAAAAAGCATAACATCTGCGAAGTACAATAAAACGAGGAAGGCCTGTACTTTTTGATGGCAGCCCTAGCAAGGGATCATGCTGTTATCATTAAGATTCATTCTCTCACACAGCTGCTACATGGTCTTCCCTTTCTTCCAGCAATGTCTACTCTGGGTTAGGGTTGTTTGTGTGCTTTGACTACTACACTTCTAATTTTTTTTCTTTCCCATCCAGTGAACAGCATACTCTTTATATGTGCACTGCCCTGGTTTCCAGCAAGGATACAGATTTTCCCCCTAATCTTCTCCTATCTTTGTTCATTTCAATCAGGAGTTAACACCTGTGTTCAAGCCTCTTAAGAGCAGGTGGCAATAGCCTAGTTTCCTTGCTGAGATGTGGCTAGAAAGTACTATCGCTGTGCTGGAACTCTTAAACCAAGAGATGTTGCTGCCAACTCACCCTGTAGTACAAGAATAGTTGATTCTGGATCCAACCTGGATGTCTGTGATCACATGCACCATGCCATTCACTGGATCTGGAGGAGTTTTACATGATTTACCTGTGGGAAAGAAAATGTTTTGGAGCCAGGTAGAGTAATCTGAACTCTCTTCAGTACGTAAGGTCTCAACCTGCATGTAGCTTCCTGAAGAAAACACGCGGTTCTGATGGTTCCACAGATTTTGGCACCTTGAGAAAACTCATCAGAGCGCTGAGGATCAGCCACCTACTAAGCCCCACTTTCAAAAAGACCTTCCCTCCAGATCTATCTAGATCTAGATTTAGATCTGTGTAGAGACCTTGCATCCCTTATCAAAATGTAAAGGTCATTTATGGCATTATTTACTATCAATATATTTCAAAGTTTGCAAAGGATTTCTTCCCACCTAGTTATTCAAACAGAATTTGTCTTCCTACACCATTTTTTTCCTGATCTAGTCATTTATTATTTTCTTTCCCATAGGGAATGAAGATTTTCTCTACAACTATTTCTTGAAACATTCTCATGAAGTTAACATTTCAAGCAACAATCAAGGATGCCTACAAGAAAAACTCTTACATCCATCTATCCGAACACTTTTCAGAAAAGGTTTCTCATATCCCACATTTGAAATAATTCCATAAGAAGCTTTTGCAGACATGGGAAAGATCCAACGCAAGTTTACGCACGTTTACAGACATCTTTGGGACTTGACCAGACCAGGTTATCTAGACATGTGATAGAGAATGGCCTCCCGTAGTACTCAGGACGGCATTCGTACTTTAAAGATGTCCCAATGGGAAAGTCAGATGCATTGGTTTGGGTTTTCAACTTGGCAAACAGAAAATGATCTGGGGCTTGACAGTGACCTAGAGACCAAGAAATCAAGAATATTTGAGTTAATAAAAAGATACCCAGTGTGTTTCCTCTTTTCTCTTCCTTGGTAGATTTGATGCCAGAAGAAAAGAAAATTTTAGTTATGAAAAAAAAAAAACTTCCCTGTAAAATAGAAAGGAAAGTTCCATTAGCATAGGCTTATAAGGAAGTATATTATTTGGAAGACTAGCCTGCTATCTGGTCTTTCTACTCATATAATTTATTTTTGTTTTTAAATTTTTTTTCTATTTTTAGTAGAGTTGGAGTTTCACTGTGTTTGCGGGCTGGTCTGGAACTCCTGACCTCTAGTGATCCACCAGCCTTGGCCTCCTAATGCCTATTTTTATTGTTTTTGAGATAGGGTCTCGCTCTGTCACCCAGGCTGGAGTGCAGTGGCACAATCTTGGCTCACTGCAACCTCTGCCTCCCAGGCTTAAGGGATACTCCCATCTCAGCCTCTCGAGTAGCTGGGACCACAGGCAATTGCCACCACGCTCAGCTAATGCTCATATAATTTAATGTAAAGATAGCTCCCATTTAATTTTTCACATTTTTAGGAAGCCAGAAAGAGTTTTTCTGCCCAGGTTCCACCTTTCCTGTCTGGTTTCCTTGTACTTCAAGTCATCAAAACTCCAATGAGAGGCTGTCAAGCATGGGCGGGAACTCAAGACGTTTCCTGGCAGAAGGAGCCACCGATTTTCTAGGTCAGATTTCTAAACCAAACATTTCAATAAGGAGATTCACAGGCATCTGTTTTTAATTCATATGATTCTAATGAAGGACTTTCCCACCACTCACCGCCTCCCTCTTTTTTCATCAGTCCCTCCATCTGCAAAGGTCATCAGGATCTTATGTGTTGACCTACCTTAGAACCATCTATCATTGGTTTGGCATTCCATTGTGGCAAATGCACAAATAAATACCACATTGTAATTACGGAAATATGGAGGGCCTGGGTTAGATATTCTGAACCCATTTGGGATGTGGGGAAATGAGCACTAACCCAGAATTCCACAGCGAGGGGCAGGGCTGCTCCAAACCCCATTCCCTTGAGGGTCACTTGTGCAGCGGATGGTGCTCTCTCCAATGAGGTCGAAGCTCGTCCCTCTGTCTGGGTGGGGGTCGCATGTGTAATTTACTGTTTTCCCAAAGGGAAAGACTTCCAGAGGTTTTCCTGTGTGTCTCCCATTAGGAATAACTGGAGGACTTGGACAAAAGATTTCTAGAAAAAACATGAAAGCTCTAAGTTTCATTCAGGAGTTTCACCAGAGGTATTCTGCAATTACAGGGTGCTATGATTGGTGTTGCTGAAAATATGCTAAGGAGATGACAGTAGACATTAGGACTTTGAAGAGTTGGATTAAATGAGATATCAATGAAAGTGTATTGCAAAGTACAAAAGAGACTTGTCTATCCTGAATCTTCCGGATAGTAACGGTTCCTGGACAATGGAAACTTTACAACTTTAATGAAGTAGCAAAACATTTGAAAAAGAAAAATAGCCATTTTGAAGGGTTGCTCATTCATTTAGTCAATATATATTAATTAAGCACTTGTCCTGTGTCAGCCACTCATCAGGATCCTGGGGACAGAGTGCTGAGGAAGGAGCCTGCATTCTTAGGAAATATTTCTCAAATGTACATATGTGTGCTAATCATCTTAAATAGGTGAAACCTTTCGCTGATTACTTCTTGATATTGATCATCAATCTCAGTGATAACAATAGCCCTGTCACAGTGAATTAAAACATAGTAAGGCCATGATAAAAAACAACTCCAAATGGATTCAGATGGCTTTGCTTTTGAAAATGTCTAGGTCTGTTGATGATTTATTTTCTCTTTTAACTTTCTGGGTCAGGTTTCAAGTTGTTTCTCCTTTCTAGCATCTGCTGATTTGTTTAGAACAGTTTCTTCCTCATTTCTAATTGGCATTTTTCATTAGAACTGGAATTTGGAAGAAGCTACTTTAACTAGCAACAGTTATGAAAAATAAGAGAAAGCTTGAGTAGTCCAATCAATGAGCTTTCATTCATGATGGTAGAACAGAAATTTGTCATGCTGCTTCAAGGAGCACTGAATTTCTTAGACAGCAAGAATCTCTATATAAGTTATGTTCTTCCAAAATTTTACTCTAAAAAGCACTGTAAGATGTCCATTTCTAACAACATAAACATTTTAGTAAAATTTCATGGTTTTCTAAAGAAACACATTTCCCAATCATTAGAATCAAGAAATGAAGCAAAGTTCTATCTTCTATTGGGGAAATTATAAATGGGGAGACTAGGAGAAATCAGTAGTCTACTCATTATTGAACATATGGGGCTCATTTTTTAAAAATGACATTATTTAAAAAGCCTGCATTGCCAAGTCTATCCTAAGCCAAAAGAACAAACTGGAGGCATCAAACTACCTGACTTCAAACTATACTACAAGGCTACAGTAACCAAAACAGCATGGTACTGGTACCAAAACAGAGATATAGACCAATGCAACAGAACAGAGCCCTCAGAAATAATACTACACATCTACAACCATCTGATCTTTGACAAACCTGACAAAAACAAGAAATGGGGAAAGGATTCCCTATTTAATAAATGGTACTGGGAAAACTGGCTAGCCATATGTAGAAAGCTGAAACTGGATCCCTTCCTTACACTGTATACAAAAATTAATTCAAGATGGATTAAAGACATAAATGTTAGACCTAAAACCATAAAAATCCTAGAAGAAAACATAGGCAATACCATTCAGGACACAGGCATGGGCAAGGACTTCATGTCTAAAACACCAAAAGCAATGGCAACAAAAGCCAAAATTGACAAAGGGGATATAATTAAACTAAAGAGCTTCTGCACAGCAAAAGAAACTACCATCAGAGTGAACAGACAACCTACAGAATGGGAGAACATTTTTGCAATCTACTCATCTGACAAAGGGCTAATATCCAGAATCTACAATGAACTCAAACAAATTTAAAAGAAAAAAACAACCCCATCAAAAAGTGGGTGAAGGATATGAACAGACACTTCTCAAAAGAAGACATTTATGCAGCTAACAGACACATGAAAAAATGCTCATCATCACTGGCCATCAGAGAAATGCAAATCAAAACCACAATGAGATACCATCTCACACCAGTTAGAATGGCTATCATTAAAAAGTCAGGAAACAACAGGTGCTGGAGAAGATGTGGAGAAATAGGAACATTTTTACACTGTTGGTGGGACTGTAACCTAGTTCAACCATTGTGGAAGACAGTGTGGTGATTCCTCAAAGATCTAGAACTAGAAATACCATTTGACCCAGCGATCCCATTACTGGGTATATACCCAAAGGATTATAAATCATGCTGCTATAAAGACACATGCACACATATGTTTATTGCTGCATTATTCACAATAGCAAAGACTTGGAACCAACCCAAATGTCCATCAATGATAGACTGGATTAAGAAAATGTGGCACATATACACCATGGAATACTATGCAGCCATAAAAATTGATGAGTTCATGTCCTTTTTAGGGACATGGATGAAGCTGGAAACCATCATTCTCAGCAAACTATCACAAGGACAAAAAACCAAACACCACATGTTCTCACTCATAGGTGGGAATTGAACAGTGAGAACACTTGGACACAAAAAGGGGAACATCACACACCGGGGCCTGTTGTGGGGTGGGGGAAGCGGGGAGGGATAGCATTAGGAGATATACCTAATGTAAATGACGAGTTAATGGGTGCAGCACACCAACATGGCACATGTATACATATGTAACAAACCTGCACGTTGTGCACATGTACCCTAGAACTTAAAAGTATAATAAATTTTTAAAAATGACATTATTTATGAATCTCTCAGCATAAATTATTTAGGTACATGTTTTGAGAATTTAAGGAGTCTCAAACTGCTCGCCTTGTCTAATGTTGCTCCTCACTTTTCCCTCATGCCTAAATGCTTTGCTCTACTATCTTCATAGCATCGTATTTATTTTTTTTCTTGTCCCTTTCCCCAACTGAGTGGAAACAACATGGGGACAGGGAATTCATTCATCTTGTTCACTGATATAACTCCTGTGGCTAGATGAACATCAGGCACAAAGTATGTGATCAATAAATATTGATTAAATAAAGGCATGTTTAATATTTGTGTATTATCAAATATATACAAAAATTGTAGACTGCACCTGATGGAAGAACAAAATGGAAAAGAAAGAAGGAGGAAGGAAGGAAGAAAGGGGAGAGAAAGAGAAGGGAAGAAAGAACTGAAGAAAGGAAGGAAGAGAAAAAAGAAACAAAAGAAAGAGAGAAAGAAAGCAAATTGTTAAGGCTTCACATTATCTAATCTCTCCTGACCTAGAATCATGCTACCATAGGATTTATCGCACTAGAACACAGAATACAGAAGGACAGAGACAGATCAGATGGTTCCAAAGACAGGTGATGTATACATTTGATTCACAACCAAACATTATTAAAATAAGCAATTTTCAAATCAATAATTCAAACTAGAAAATTGAAGAACCACATTAGGGGAGGTCATGGGTCAAATACTGAACAGATGAAGGGAGAGACTGGCCTGAAATGTTACTCCTGCTACTCACGTTCACACACTGGAACACTGCTATTCCAAAGGCTTTCCATTCCAGCCAAGACACAGTAACTAGCAGAGCTGCCTTTTAATTGAAATCTAAAGAAGAAAATAGGAGTGAATAGTGTGAGCTGTTTCAGCCAAGAGAACCCTTAGTTCACAATCTAAGGCCCAGCCCCAATTTCAGGATTATTAGGACCTTAGGCCAGCAGGTGGCAGAGTTGCACAGGCTACCTTATTCTGGAAAAATCACAGCCTCCAGAAGGGAACAATATAGAATGGCAAAATGCAGTAGCTTGGTCACATGATAGTCCTGCTTGAACTGAAAAAGGTGGTCATGACATAGGCGCCATCCCCTTGACCCAGGACCCAGGCTTGGAGTTTCACTGATTACTCCATGATAACCTGATAAATCACTCATTGTTGTTATTAGAAACCCAGTCTTCTAATGTAATGCCTTCCTAACTCTGACCCTGGAACAGCAAGTAAAACAGCTCCCAGTTTGGAGTGGAAAAGTGGGAAATAGCTGGCGAGAGAACAGACTGTCCTTTCATCTCCACATCTGTGATGGCGTGAAGAAGGCTCAAAAGGGCAATTTGGGCTGCTGAAGAGTAAGCATGAATATTCTAGGGGAAAAAGGAAAGAAGAGAGGACTTATTTTTTGCATGCAATTGTCGAAAATTCTCAATGTCTGCTGGACCCCGATGCCCTCCTAACTCTTACTGGGTGCTGGCATTTGGAGGCTGCCAAGATTCTGTGTTACATTTTGGGATCAGGTGCTTTGTTGCCCATGCCGGTCAGCTCCCGTGTAGAGATGTGCACCCTGCGAAGAGCACTAGGTGGACATAAACAAGGTAATGAGCTTGCTGGAAATATTAACAGCAGCCATCAGGACCCCAGCTCAGAGCCCAGAGCCCATGATTAACCAGATGATATATGGCTGGATTTTTTTAAAAAATGCTGATTTTTACATTTTCAGTCCTATTACAAATTTCACTGTTGACGATTTAAAGAATTTACTGAAATGATTCACAAATGATCCTAGCTTTTTATAATAAGCTTTTGTTACTTCCAGTTTTTTCCTGGGACTCTCTAAATTACTCATATTCCTTTTTGCTTGTAAAATATGATTTTTTTTCCTGAGATGGAGTTTCACTCTTATTGTCCACGCTGGAGTGCAATGGTGCCATCTCGGCTCACTGCAAACTCCACCTCCCAGGTTCAAGTGATTCTGGTGCCTCAGCCTCCGGAATAGCTGGGATTACAGGCACATGCCACCACACCCAGCTAACTTTTGTATTTTTAGTAGAGACAGGGTTTCATCATGTTGTCCAGGCTGGTCTCCAACTCCTGACCTCAGGTGATCTGCCCGCCTCAACCTCCCAAAGGTGCTAGGATTACAGGGGTGAGCCACCGTTTCTGGCTGATATTTTTTGCTTAATGTGTTACTTATATATTCATAACCAGTAGTTATACTTGCCTTTGAACTTGCCAGTTAATATATGTTCCAGTTTCCTCTTCATATCTCATGTTATTAGTTCTATATGTTTCTTTCCTTTCTTCCTAGGTATACTTTCGAAAGTTCATCTCTCTGAAGGTGTGTGTGTGTGTGCCACACCAAATCTCCCCTTTTTAGACTGATTCCCAACCCCAATTTCAATGTCCAGCAGGTCAGGCAAGCTCATACTCACCCTTCATCACAAACAAAATCCACTTTTGCTCCAAGCTGGAGATTTACTGGAAATAGCACACGGCCATTAAGAAGTTGGCCCATGAAGTCATCACAGGATTTCACTGGAGATAAAGAAAAACGAACAGAAATCACTGGCATGTGGAGAATAAAGACGCAAGCTAAAAATATCAAGCCAGATAAGAGTCTAGTCACCTTCACATGTGGGGGCTGCAGGGCTCCAGTCTCCCTGGGGTGTGCAGCGCATAGACGCAGCCCCTCTGAGGTCGTAGCCGGGCTCACAGCTGTAGAACACTTCCTGCCCGGGTGAAAAGTTGTCCTTGTCCCTTTGGGTACGCTCAGCATGCAGGACATCTGGAGGTGGCTGACATACTGGGGAGAGAGAAACAAAGTACAGCTAATTGTGTGAAAACAACTTTTTTCTCACTGTTAAACTGGCCAAGGGAATAATAATTACGAATCTATATATAATAATAAAGTTAGAATAACAGCCTTATTACATTGATAAACTAAATACACGGGGCAAGGAAGATGTCTTGCCATCAGTCATAGAACTGACACATGGCACAACTGTGACTAAAACAGAGGTATCTCCAATTCATTGTTTTTCATCTAAAGTATGCAACTAAGATTTCACAATGGACAGTTCCTTCTAGAATGCTTCCAATTACTGTTCACCCAGTACAAAATTGGGAGGAATGATGGATTTTTGTATCTTCATACTTCCTTTCTAGAAAGGCATCACCAATTTAGTCTTGCATTTTAAGCAATAAAGGAGTGCCCCTGCCCATGTCCCATCTAATAGGTCCCTCCATCACCTATCACACTGGTGCAACAAAGAGCGTCCATACATCTATGCTCATCTCCTTTCAAGTCTTCTCTCAGCGGCCACCTGACATAGGGTGGTAAAGAACTATGGGTCTCCTCTCTTCATGCTATGTAGCAAGGTGCTGCCTAGTCATTCATTTCACTTCAGTGAGAAGGTGGGAAACTGTCGAACAAAATCTGAAAGACCTACTGTCACCATAATGAGAGTGTAATTTCACACAACATATTGTAACGGCATCTCAGGCTCTCTCTTAATGTAGTTGATCTGATCTTGGGAAATCAAAACACATTTGGATCTCAAATAAATTACATAAAACTGTTATAAAATGGAAAAAGTAATTTCAGTTTGTCTTTGAGCAGATCAGTTCCCTTTTCTGGACTTCAGCTTTCTCAAGCATCAAATGGGGGATTGGAATAGAAAAATGACTTCTTTAAGGAGTTTGTAAATACTCTGATGCTGTAATGTCCATTTTCAGGGCTCATCACCCAGTGTTTCCCTGGACTAATCAATGCCTGGTGATGTAATATTGAGGTGCTGTGCTGGTTAAATTTCTGTTGGCCCCCAGCCTCACATTTCTGCACTGTCTTTTGACAGCTAACAATGGAGGCCTTAAAAATAAATCGTTCATCTTCCTTGATAGCTAGGCTCTGGTTAGGTTCTGCCAATTGGAGGCATATATACCAAATTAAAAAGCAGGATGATGGCAGAATCTGTTCTACTTCTAGAAGTGGCTCAGGCAGTGGCAGTATAGATGGCTTCAGTGAGTAGCTACAGCTTCAATTGTAACGATGCCAATGACTTTGGCTCCAGCAATATCAGCTGCATTCTGGCAGCAATGGTGGCTCCTGCAGTATTAGCAGCTTACAGGGAGCTGCCTGCTCAGTGGGAGGGGCTGGCCATTTCACCATCACTCCAGGCTCCTGTGCTGTAGACTGGGAGCCACAGCAGCTCCCTGATCTCTCGTAACTTTGCCTTTGTCCTATTGCTTTTCCTGCCCTTCTAACATTTTTGTGACCTATTAGCTGCGATATGGTTTGGCTCTATGTCCCCTCCCAAATCTCATGTCAAATGGTAATTCCCAGTGTTGGAGAAGGAGCCTGGTGGGAGGTGACTGGATCATGGAGGTGGTTTCTAATGGTTGAGCACCATCACCCTAGTGCTGTCTTGTGATAGAGTTCTGTCAAGATCTGCTTGTTTCAAAGTCTGTAACACCTCTGCCTTGCTCTCTCTCTCTCTCCTGCCAAGCATATGAAGATATGCGTGCTTCCTCTTTGCCTTCCACCATGATTGTAACTTTCCCAGCCATGCCTCCTGTACAGCCTACAGAACTCTGAGTCAATTAAACATCTTTTCTTTATAAATTACCCAGGCTCAAGTAGTTTTTTATAGGAATGTGAGAACAGACTAATACAACCTGCATGAAATCCCTCCCTCCTTGAAAGTATCTAGAGTAAGTTTTGATTTCATGACTGAATGCTGATGAGCAAAGCCAAGGCTCTGGAGTGAGGTGGACTTGCAATCCAGTTTTGTCTGCAAGTTACTGTCTCAGAATGTTATCTGATGTGTCTAAGGCACATATTCTCTGTAAAACATAGAGGCCGGGCACAGTGGCTCATGCCTATAATCCCAGCACTTTGGGAGCCCAAGGTGGGTGGGTGCTTGAGCTGAGGAGTTTGAGACCAGCCTGGGCAGCATGGTGAGACTCTGTCCCTACAAAAAAAATATAAAAAACTTAGCCAGGCATGGTGGCATGCACCTACATTCCCAGCTACTTGGGAGGCTCAGGCAGGAGACTTGCTTGAGTCAGGGAGGTGGAGGGTGAAGTATGCCATGATGGCACCACTGCAGTCCAACCTGAGTGACAGATCAAGACAGTATCTCAAGCAAAACAAAACAGACAAACATAGAACAACTGGGAACTACCTAATAACTTTGTTTTCAGGATTAAAATTCACATGTAGCCTGTATTATAGTGCCTGGGCAGAGGAATCACTCATTTTGTATCAAACATTATTATACTCAAAGGTAATTGATAGATCTGTTTATAAGAACCCCAAAGAAACATCATATCCCTTGCCCAGGTTGAGCTTTGCTTCTCAATTTCAGCACATGTGCATGTCTACACACCTGAATTTCATGTTCACTACTTAGAAAATTTGCTCCTCGACCCTGCTCAGCACACATCCCTCCCCGTGAACAAATACTAATCTCCTGATCCAACAGCAACGCATGTCACTTGCAGGGCCCTACTAGGCCTCAGTCAGACTCACCCCTGGAGCAGCTTGGTAGCTCCGGCTCCCATTTGTTCAGGGCCTGGCACTTCACACGGCGGGGTCCTTTCATGACAAAGCCAGGCTGACACCTAAACTCCACAACTTCATTTAAGGAAAATAAGCTTCTGTTGTCAGATACCAATATTCCATTTTCCACATTTGGAGGCGTGCATTTGTTAGGTATAATGCACTGAGGGGCCGGGCCGCTCCAGATGCCCACTTGATCGTCATTGCTGGTGCAGTATATGGAGGGCTCACCCACAAGCTCAAACACCTTTCTCCCTCCGCTTCCAGGATTGCAGCGGTAGGTCACCACTGATCCATAGTGAAAATTCTCTCTGTTGGTGCTAATGAAATCTCCATTGGCGATGGTGGGGGGTAGCCCACAAGGAATTCCTGGAAAAAGGGACAGCAAGTTAACCAAAACAAAACCTTGGGACAGAGTCTTGCTCTGTCACCCAGGCTGGAGTGTAGTGGCACGATCATGGCTCACTGCAACCTCCACTTCCCAGGTCAAGCAATCCTCCTACCTCAACTTCCCGAGTAGCTGGGATCACAGGCATGCACTACCATGTCTGGTTTATTTTTGTATTTTTAGTAGAGATGGGGTTTGGCCATGTTGGGCAGGCTAGTCTTGAACTCCTGGCCTCAAGCAATCTGCATGCCTCTGCTTTTCAAAGTGCTGGGATTATAAGCGTGAGCCACCACGCCTAGCCTGGTTTGTTAAAATCATACTTTATTGTAAATTTTCCCAAAAGTTTTTTTTTTAATTCCAAATTACCAGAAGTAAATATTGAAAATACTATTCTCATCTACTATTTGCTAATGTACAGACATGTTCTTACAGTTTTAAAATATTATAAGTTCTGCTCTACTCAGTTAAGTTTATTTCACTAAATGTGTCCATGTATTATTAGAGTCCACTTTTTTTTTTTTTTTTTAACAGATCCTCACTCTGTTCCCCAGGCTGGAGTGCAGTGGCGTGATCTTGGCTCACTGCAGCCCTTGCCTCCCAGGTTCAAGCGATTTTCCTGCCTCAGCCTCCTGAGTAGCTGGGATTTCAGGCATGCGCCACCAAACTCGGCTAACTTTTGTATTTTTAGTAGAGGCGGGGTTTCATTATGTTGGCCAGGGTGGTCTCAAACTACTGACCTCAAGTGATCTGCCCACCTCAGCCTCCTAATGTGCTGGGATTACAGGTATGAGCCACTGTGCCTAGCCTATAGTCTATGTTTTTATTTCTCCTGCTAAATGAGAATTTAACTGTTATCTCACCATTATTAATTTAGTTCTCTCTATATAGAAGGCATGTGTCTTTATTCTATTGGATATTAATATAATAAAGCATACAGCATAGCATTTTTTTTGAGACAAGGTCTTGCTCTGCTGCCCAGACTGGAGTGCAGTGGCACGATCATGGCTCATTGCAGCCTCGACCTCTCTGGCTCAAGCAATCCTCCCACCTCTCAGTCTCCTGAGTAGTTGGGACTACAGGCATGTGCCACCATGCCCGTATAGTTTTTGTATTTTTGTAGAGACAGCGTTTCAGTATGTTGTACAGGCTGGTCTCAAACTCCTGGACTCAAGCCATCTGCTCACCTAGGCCTCCCAAAGTGCTGGGATTACACGTTTGAGTCACCACATGTGGCTCAGTATAACATCTTTATTAAATAATAAGAACAAAAGCTCTGGAAGAACTAACAAAGACAAAGTACAAATATACAATATTACATATAATAAACATGATACTTACAGATTCAGAAATAATAAAAAGAACTGGATACTGATCTACAACCATACCACCCTAAATGCGCCCAATCTCGTCTGATCTTGGAAGAACTGAATACTGTGTCCTACTCTACCGTAGGGCAGTGCCCAGCCAGTTTATTGGCCTTCTACAAAGTTTGTTCCCACTTATCCTCCCACCAACTGGGTTTGAAATTGCTGATTTCCTCACACCATCACTAAACCCAGGATTATACACATTTTATATTCCTTGTTAGCTTGCAATTGCTCATTCGTCTTTGCTCCCCAAAATGTAGAAAGCTCATCTTCCAAACAACTCACAGGGAAGATGGCATGATCCTGTTTAGACAAAGAATAAGAAGGAAGAAAGAGCTGCATGGCTTGAATATCTGATGTGATACTAAGAGCTTGCAGAGAGGATATGGGGTTTCTTTCACTGACTTTGTATTTGTTGACTTCACTAAATAAAATGCTCTTTAAACTGGGAGGTGTTCACCCAACAGAGGATGAAATTGGGGGACTGTTTAAGTGAGCTAAAGACTAGTTTAAAAAAAATTAGACCTTGAGATAAGAAAAAATAAAAAAGCATTTCTAGCTGAAGGTGGAAGTTTGGAATGCTGTGAGCCATTTTAAGGATATGACTGGATTCTTCAAATATGAGAAGGATACCATTTCCAAGAGGGATGAGATCCATTCTTTGTAATTCTAGGAGGACAACTCTAGGATTAAACGGTGGGGTGAATGGGGAAAGAGATTTCAACTCACGTTGACAAATTGGCGGCTTCGTGCTCCAATGGGCAGCATTGCCCGAGAGGATACATTCAGCAGATGAGTGACCAATGAGTCGGTGCCTAAAGGCAAAAAATGGAAAATAAATTGTGCTGTACATACCTCATCAACTTCCTGACAGCATGCATATGTGGCAAACCAGAGGGATTACAATGCAGGAGAAGTCTAAGGCCTAGCCTAAACTTTACCTATTGTTCCCAGCTTTTCTACTTCTTTTTCCTATTCTCTCACTATTGAAAGAGATATTTCTGCTCTAATTTCTCCTGGCCCACTTTGCTTCTTAATATCTTCGCTTCATTGCGGACTGTAACTGGCACCAAAATAAAACAATTATTTTGCAGACCTGTTTGACAATTTTTTTTCTTAAATTCTATCTTTCTCTAAATATTATTTCTGCCATTTTTTGTCTGCATTTTCCCTTAATGTGTGTGTGTGTGTGTATGTGTGTGTGTGTGTATAATACTATGTCATTTTACTTGAGACATGTTTTTTATAAATACAAGATATGTTGCTTTTGATCCTGTCTAGGAGAATTTGTCTTTCAACAAGAAGATTAAACCAAACGTATTGAGGTAAATGATACATTTGATTAGCTTTCATCATCATTCTTTCACTGCCTTTTCATTGATTTCATGATGCCTAATGATGAGGATGTGGAGAAAGCAATGAATAAAGTGACCTGACCCAAACATGAGGGAGCTTATTTCTGGTGGAAGAGAAAAATGGATTCCTTGCTATTCCTTTTCCTTCCCCCTCAATTACTATATGGAACAGATAGATTCAACTGTTTTAGTCATTCTAATAATTTGGAAATTAAACTTAATATTTTTTCCAGTGAGGAATTTCATTTTATATGTGTGCATGTATATTATACATATACACGTGACACATATTTAAACCTCTTTTCTCAATTTTAGAGTCAAACTCTATATAGTCAGTCTACTCATCTTTTCTGTAATGTAAGTCTAGCCTATCTTTTCTTGCTGTCTCACATTTTCTAGTTTTATTGATATATTCTATGAGTTTAGAGAGATTATTAATAAATTATTATTACATTGCCAAGATTTTGTGTGTATGTTTTTTTTATTGTTGTTTTTTCTTTTTACCTACATCCTATCTCATTGAGATTTCCTTTGGAATTCATCATTCTCCTTTTTAAAAATTTGCTTATGAATTGCCTGGGAAACATACTTAAATGGTACAATTTTTGTGTCTTTGCTTATCCTTTAATGTGTACCTGGAGCCTCTAGGTGTGCATATTAGCTTGGCTCAAGAGAAGTGCTATCTTCTACAATTTAGTGTTATACAATATATCTTATACAATATAGAATCAATGTGGTGTCAATAAATTTATTTCTTTTGCGGGTATTATATTTTCACATTTTATTTCTGGAATCAGAGTTTTTTTCTCTATCCCTGAAACACAGAAGTTTCCCTAGTGATGGCTAGGTATGGGCTTATTTGCTTACCCTTCTGGAATTTTTGCTACATGTATTTTGAATCCTGACACTGTGTTACATATGTCTTCTCTTTTTCCTTTTTTGAGACAGGGTCTCATTCTGTCATCCAGGCTGGAGTGCAGGGTTGCCATCAAGGCTCACTGAAGCCTCAGCCTCCTGGGCTCAGGTGATCCTCCCACTTCATTCTCCTGCCTAGCTGTGACTACAGTCACATGCTGCCATGCCCAGCTAATTTTTATACTTTTTTGTAGAGATGGGTTTTTGCCATGTTGTCCAGGCTGGTCTTGAGCTCCTGGGCTCAAGTGATCCTCTTGCCCCGGCCTCTCAATATGTTGGGATTACATGTGTGAGCCACTGTGCTTGCCTGTCTTCTCCTTTTCATCTTTTCCCACTGCATTCAGGGAACATTTGGTTAACTCTTCTTACTCTTTGCTTTAATTTTCTGCAATATTCATTGTGATATATATATATATATATATATATATATATGATATAGATCACATGTATGAAATGAAATATATAAACACACTGAATACATATATTCATTCATGTACACACTTCATGGCTAGTTTCACAGAAGTATTTGTACAATTGAATCTTGTTACAAATATGAAAAGGAGAGTGTTCTGAAAGTTTCCCTGGTTTCTTGGCAGTAAATCTCTTTTGTAAAATTTCTCCTGATTTTTCAGACTGGTCTCTTTTACATGTATTTCCTGTTTCTTCTCATAAGCTCAATGGTTTTCTGCTTCATGCCATAGAGAGGTTCCTCACTTATTCAGCAATGCAAGATGAGTAGGGTACAGTCAGGAAATTTACCAATTGTATTTAAAAATGCTTAAAAAAAGAGAGAAAAGGAGACATCGGATTTATTCTAATTTTTGTCAGATTCTAGGTGTTGTGGTCTGTGAGGCCTATGCTGGCAAATGTGCTGGACACCACAAACTTCCTTTCAGTGTCTGCTGTGGTGACACAAACGTAACTCGTATTCGCTACCTGGCTTAGCTGTTCCCATGAAGAATGAGATTGAGGCAGAGCCTCCACCGTGTGCTGAGCAAGGGTGAGCACCAACAGCTGGACCGTGTGCTGTGAGCACCTGATGCCTGACATTTTCAAAGGGGCTCTGTTATAGGTTGAATTGTGTCTCCCCTGAGTATGCTGAAGTCTTAACCTCCAGTCCCTGTGGATGTGACCTTATTTGGAAATACGATCTTTGCAGACGCAATCAAGTTAAGGTGAGGTCATGAAGGTAGGCCCTAATCCAGTGTGACTGGTGTCCTTATTAAAAGGGAAAACTTTGGAAACAGACATGCACAGAGAGAACAGCATATGAGGACACAGACCCAGAGGGAAGATGGCCATATGAGGACAGAGACAGAAATTGGAGTTCTGCTGCCACATGCCAAGGAAGGCCTGTGGCTCCAGAAGCTGGAAGATGCAATGAAGGATCCTTCCCTACAGGATTCAGAGGGAGCGTGGCCCTCCCAAAACCTTGATTTTGGATTTCCAGTCTCTAGAATGGAACTCCAAAAACTTCTGTTGTATTAAGCCGCCCACTTCGTGTTACAGACATTCCTCAAATATATTGCAGGTTCAGTTCCAGACCACCACAATAAAACACATATCACAACAAATGAGTCAGATGAATTTTTTGATTTCTCAGTGAGTCTAAAAGTTGTGTTTATACTATACGGTAGTCTATTAAGTGTGAAATAGCATTATGTCTAAACAAAGTCATACTTTAAAAAAAGGTTTATTGATAAGAAAATACTAAAGATTATCTGACCTTCAATAATTTGTAATCTTTTTGTTGGTGGAGGGTCTTGCCTCAAGGTTGATGGCTGCTGACTGATCAGGGTGGTGGTTGCTGAAGGCTGGGGTGGCTGTGGCAATTTCTTAAGCTGAGACAGCAATAAAATTGCTGTATTGATGGACTCTTCCTTTCACAAAAGATTTTTCTAGCATGCAATGCTGTTTGATAACATTTTACCCTCTGAACTGCTTTCAAAATTGGAGTTAATCCTCCCGATACTGCTGCTGCTTTATCACCTAAGTTTTTGTAATATTCTGTATCCTTTGTGGTCATTTTCACAATGCTCATGTCATCATCACCAGGAAGACACTCCACCTCAAAAAAACCACTTTCTCTGCTGATTCATGAGAAGCAACTCCTCATCTGTTCAAGTTTGATCATGAATTTGTCGCAATTCAGTCACGTCTTCAGGCTCCACTTCTAATTGTAGTTCTCTTGCGATTTTCACCACATCTTCAGTTATTTCCTCCGCTGAAGTCTTGAACCTCTCAAAGTCAGCCATGAGGGTTGGAATTAACTTCTACCAAACTCCTATTAATGTTGATATTTTAAGCTCTTCCCATGAATCACGAATGTTCTTAATGGTATGTAGAATGATGAATTCTTTCCAGCAGTTTTCAACTTATTTTGTTCAGATCCATCAGAGGAATTACTGTCTGTGGGGACTCACCTTACAAAATGTATTTCTTAAATAGTGAAACTTGAAAGTCAAAATTACTCCTTCAGCCATGGGCTGCAGAATGGCTGCTGTTGTTAGCAGGCAGGAAAACTCCATTCATCTCCATGTCCTTCTCCATTAGAGCTCTTGGCTGCTTAGGTGCAATGTCAATGAGCAGTAATATTTTGAAAGGAATCTGTTTTTCTGAGCACTAGATCTCAACAGTGGGCTTAAAATATTCAGTAAACTATGCCGCAAACATACCTCTGTCATCAGGCTTTGTTCTTCCATTTATAGACACAGGCAAGGTATATTTAACTTAATGCTTAAGGGCCCTAGGATTTTTAGAATGGTCGGTGAACATTGGCTTCAACTCAAAGTCACCAGCGGCATTAGCTCCTAAAAAGTCAGCCTGTTCTTTGAAGCTTTGAACCCAGGTATTGGCTTCTCCTCTCTAGCTATGAAAGTCCAATAGATGGCTGTTTTGTCTACATGGAAAATCTGTTATTTAGTGTAACACCTTCGTCAGTGATCTTAGCTAGATTTTCTAGATAACTTGCTGCAACTTCTATATGAGCACTGGCTGCTTCACCTTGGACCTTTATGTTATGGAGAGGGCTTCTTTCCTTAAACCTCAGGAACCAAATTCTGCTAGCTTCCAGCTTCTGTCAGCCTTCACAGAATTGAAGAGAGTTACGGCCTTGCTCAGGATTACGCTTTGGCTTCAGGAAATGTTTCTAGTTTGATCTTATGTCTAGACCACTAAAACTTCTTCCATATCAGCAATAAGGCTGTTTTACCTTCTTATCATACATGTGTTCACTGGAAGAGCATTTTAAATTTCCTTCAAGTATTTTTACTTTGCCTTTACAACTTTCTAGCTGTTTGGCACATGAGGAATGGCTTTTGGCCTATCTTGGTTTTCAACGTATCTTCCTCAGTAAGCTTAATCATCTCTAGCTTTTGATTTAAAGTAAGAGATGCATGACTCTTCCCTTCATGTCAACACTTAAAGGCTATTGTAGGGTTATTAATTGGAGTCATTTTAGTATTATTGTGTCTCAGGGATTAGGGAGTCCTGAAGAGAGGGAGACAGAAGGGGAATGTCTAGTCCATGGAGCAGTCAAAGCACGCACATTTATTGATTAAGTTTTCTGTCTTATATGGGTGCAGTTCGTAGGGACCCCAAACAATGACAATAGTAACATCAAAGATCACTGATGACAGATCACTATCACAGACATGATAATAATGAAAACATCTGGGATACTGTGAGAATAATCAAAATGCTACACAGAGACACGAAGTCAACACACGCTGTTGGATAAATGATGCCGACGAACATGCTTACACAGCGTTCCCACAAGCGTTCAATTTGTAAAAAGCATAACATCTGCGAAGTACAATAAAACGAGGAAGGCCTGTACTTTTTGATGGCAGCCCTAGCAAGGGATCATGCTGTTATCATTAAGATTCATTCTCTCACACAGCTGCTACATGGTCTTCCCTTTCTTCCAGCAATGTCTACTCTGGGTTAGGGTTGTTTGTGTGCTTTGACTACTACACTTCTAAGTTTTTTTCCTTCCCATCCAGTGAACAGCATACTCTTTATATGTGCACTGCCCTGGTTTCCAGCAAGGATACAGATTTTCCCCCTAATCTTCTCCTATCTTTGTTCATTTCAATCAGGAGTTAACACCTGTGTTCAAGCCTCTTAAGAGCAGGTGGCAATAGCCTAGTTTCCTTGCTGAGATGTGGCTAGAAAGTACTATCGCTGTGCTGGAACTCTTAAACCAAGAGATGTTGCTGCCAACTCACCCTGTAGTACAAGAATAGTTGATTCTGGATCCAACCTGGATGTCTGTGATCACATGCACCATGCCATTCACTGGATCTGGAGGAGTTTTACATGATTTACCTGTGGGAAAGAAAATGTTTTGGAGCCAGGTAGAGTAATCTGAACTCTCTTCAGTACGTAAGGTCTCAACCTGCATGTAGCTTCCTGAAGAAAACACGCGGCTCTGATGGTTCCACAGATTTTGGCACCTTGAGAAAACTCATCAGAGCGCTGAGGATCAGCCACCTACTAAGCCCCACTTTCAAAAAGACCTTCCCTCCAGATCTATCTAGATCTAGATTTAGATCTGTGTAGAGACCTTGCATCCCTTATCAAAATGTAAAGGTCATTTATGGCATTATTTACTATCAATATATTTCAAAGTTTGCAAAGGATTTCTTCCCACCTAGTTATTCAAACAGAATTTGTCTTCCTACACCATTTTTTTCCTGATCTAGTCATTTATTATTTTCTTTCCCATAGGGAATGAAGATTTTCTCTACAACTATTTCTTGAAACATTCTCATGAAGTTAACATTTCAAGCAACAATCAAGGATGCCTACAAGAAAAACTCTTACATCCATCTATCCGAACACTTTTCAGAAAAGGTTTCTCATATCCCACATTTGAAATAATTCCATAAGAAGCTTTTGCAGACATGGGAAAGATCCAACGCAAGTTTACGCACGTTTACAGACATCTTTGGGACTTGACCAGACCAGGTTATCTAGACATGTGATAGAGAATGGCCTCCCGTAGTACTCAGGACGGCATTCGTACTTTAAAGATGTCCCAATGGGAAAGTCAGATGCATTGGTTTGGGTTTTCAACTTGGCAAACAGAAAATGATCTGGGGCTTGACAGTGACCTAGAGACCAAGAAATCAAGAATATTTGAGTTAATAAAAAGATACCCAGTGTGTTTCCTCTTTTCTCTTCCTTGGTAGATTTGATGCCAGAAGAAAAGAAAATTTTAGTTATGAAAAAAAAAAAACTTCCCTGTAAAATAGAAAGGAAAGTTCCATTAGCATAGGCTTATAAGGAAGTATATTATTTGGAAGACTAGCCTGCTATCTGGTCTTTCTACTCATATAATTTATTTTTGTTTTTAAATTTTTTTTCTATTTTTAGTAGAGTTGGAGTTTCACTGTGTTTGCGGGCTGGTCTGGAACTCCTGACCTCTAGTGATCCACCAGCCTTGGCCTCCTAATGCCTATTTTTATTGTTTTTGAGATAGGGTCTCGCTCTGTCACCCAGGCTGGAGTGCAGTGGCACAATCTTGGCTCACTGCAACCTCTGCCTCCCAGGCTTAAGGGATACTCCCATCTCAGCCTCTCGAGTAGCTGGGACCACAGGCAATTGCCACCACGCTCAGCTAATGCTCATATAATTTAATGTAAAGATAGCTCCCATTTAATTTTTCACATTTTTAGGAAGCCAGAAAGAGTTTTTCTGCCCAGGTTCCACCTTTCCTGTCTGGTTTCCTTGTACTTCAAGTCATCAAAACTCCAATGAGAGGCTGTCAAGCATGGGCGGGAACTCAAGACGTTTCCTGGCAGAAGGAGCCACCGATTTTCTAGGTCAGATTTCTAAACCAAACATTTCAATAAGGAGATTCACAGGCATCTGTTTTTAATTCATATGATTCTAATGAAGGACTTTCCCACCACTCACCGCCTCCCTCTTTTTTCATCAGTCCCTCCATCTGCAAAGGTCATCAGGATCTTATGTGTTGACCTACCTTAGAACCATCTATCATTGGTTTGGCATTCCATTGTGGCAAATGCACAAATAAATACCACATTGTAATTACGGAAATATGGAGGGCCTGGGTTAGATATTCTGAACCCATTTGGGATGTGGGGAAATGAGCACTAACCCAGAATTCCACAGCGAGGGGCAGGGCTGCTCCAAACCCCATTCCCTTGAGGGTCACTTGTGCAGCGGATGGTGCTCTCTCCAATGAGGTCGAAGCTCGTCCCTCTGTCTGGGTGGGGGTCGCATGTGTAATTTACTGTTTTCCCAAAGGGAAAGACTTCCAGAGGTTTTCCTGTGTGTCTCCCATTAGGAATAACTGGAGGACTTGGACAAAAGATTTCTAGAAAAAACATGAAAGCTCTAAGTTTCATTCAGGAGTTTCACCAGAGGTATTCTGCAATTACAGGGTGCTATGATTGGTGTTGCTGAAAATATGCTAAGGAGATGACAGTAGACATTAGGACTTTGAAGAGTTGGATTAAATGAGATATCAATGAAAGTGTATTGCAAAGTACAAAAGAGACTTGTCTATCCTGAATCTTCCGGATAGTAACGGTTCCTGGACAATGGAAACTTTACAACTTTAATGAAGTAGCAAAACATTTGAAAAAGAAAAATAGCCATTTTGAAGGGTTGCTCATTCATTTAGTCAATATATATTAATTAAGCACTTGTCCTGTGTCAGCCACTCATCAGGATCCTGGGGACAGAGTGCTGAGGAAGGAGCCTGCATTCTTAGGAAATATTTCTCAAATGTACATATGTGTGCTAATCATCTTAAATAGGTGAAACCTTTCGCTGATTACTTCTTGATATTGATCATCAATCTCAGTGATAACAATAGCCCTGTCACAGTGAATTAAAACATAGTAAGGCCATGATAAAAAACAACTCCAAATGGATTCAGATGGCTTTGCTTTTGAAAATGTCTAGGTCTGTTGATGATTTATTTTCTCTTTTAACTTTCTGGGTCAGGTTTCAAGTTGTTTCTCCTTTCTAGCATCTGCTGATTTGTTTAGAACAGTTTCTTCCTCATTTCTAATTGGCATTTTTCATTAGAACTGGAATTTGGAAGAAGCTACTTTAACTAGCAACAGTTATGAAAAATAAGAGAAAGCTTGAGTAGTCCAATCAATGAGCTTTCATTCATGATGGTAGAACAGAAATTTGTCATGCTGCTTCAAGGAGCACTGAATTTCTTAGACAGCAAGAATCTCTATATAAGTTATGTTCTTCCAAAATTTTACTCTAAAAAGCACTGTAAGATGTCCATTTCTAACAACATAAACATTTTAGTAAAATTTCATGGTTTTCTAAAGAAACACATTTCCCAATCATTAGAATCAAGAAATGAAGCAAAGTTCTATCTTCTATTGGGGAAATTATAAATGGGGAGACTAGGAGAAATCAGTAGTCTACTCATTATTGAACATATGGGGCTCATTTTTTAAAAATGACATTATTTAAAAAGCCTGCATTGCCAAGTCTATCCTAAGCCAAAAGAACAAACTGGAG
Organism: Homo sapiens; assembly: GCF_000001405.40. Taxonomy (NCBI): domain Eukaryota; kingdom Metazoa; phylum Chordata; class Mammalia; order Primates; family Hominidae; genus Homo; species Homo sapiens. Next base: position 207,531,004 of record NC_000001.11, on the reverse strand, counting down.
GCATCAAACTACCTGACTTCAAACTATACTACAAGGCTACAGTAACCAAAACAGCATGGTACTGGTACCAAAACAGAGATATAGACCAATGCAACAGAACAGAGCCCTCAGAAATAATACTACACATCTACAACCATCTGATCTTTGACAAACCTGACAAAAACAAGAAATGGGGAAAGGATTCCCTATTTAATAAATGGTACTGGGAAAACTGGCTAGCCATATGTAGAAAGCTGAAACTGGATCCCTTCCTTACACTGTATACAAAAATTAATTCAAGATGGATTAAAGACATAAATGTTAGACCTAAAACCATAAAAATCCTAGAAGAAAACATAGGCAATACCATTCAGGACACAGGCATGGGCAAGGACTTCATGTCTAAAACACCAAAAGCAATGGCAACAAAAGCCAAAATTGACAAAGGGGATATAATTAAACTAAAGAGCTTCTGCACAGCAAAAGAAACTACCATCAGAGTGAACAGACAACCTACAGAATGGGAGAACATTTTTGCAATCTACTCATCTGACAAAGGGCTAATATCCAGAATCTACAATGAACTCAAACAAATTTAAAAGAAAAAAACAACCCCATCAAAAAGTGGGTGAAGGATATGAACAGACACTTCTCAAAAGAAGACATTTATGCAGCTAACAGACACATGAAAAAATGCTCATCATCACTGGCCATCAGAGAAATGCAAATCAAAACCACAATGAGATACCATCTCACACCAGTTAGAATGGCTATCATTAAAAAGTCAGGAAACAACAGGTGCTGGAGAAGATGTGGAGAAATAGGAACATTTTTACACTGTTGGTGGGACTGTAACCTAGTTCAACCATTGTGGAAGACAGTGTGGTGATTCCTCAAAGATCTAGAACTAGAAATACCATTTGACCCAGCGATCCCATTACTGGGTATATACCCAAAGGATTATAAATCATGCTGCTATAAAGACACATGCACACATATGTTTATTGCTGCATTATTCACAATAGCAAAGACTTGGAACCAACCCAAATGTCCATCAATGATAGACTGGATTAAGAAAATGTGGCACATATACACCATGGAATACTATGCAGCCATAAAAATTGATGAGTTCATGTCCTTTTTAGGGACATGGATGAAGCTGGAAACCATCATTCTCAGCAAACTATCACAAGGACAAAAAACCAAACACCACATGTTCTCACTCATAGGTGGGAATTGAACAGTGAGAACACTTGGACACAAAAAGGGGAACATCACACACCGGGGCCTGTTGTGGGGTGGGGGAAGCGGGGAGGGATAGCATTAGGAGATATACCTAATGTAAATGACGAGTTAATGGGTGCAGCACACCAACATGGCACATGTATACATATGTAACAAACCTGCACGTTGTGCACATGTACCCTAGAACTTAAAAGTATAATAAATTTTTAAAAATGACATTATTTATGAATCTCTCAGCATAAATTATTTAGGTACATGTTTTGAGAATTTAAGGAGTCTCAAACTGCTCGCCTTGTCTAATGTTGCTCCTCACTTTTCCCTCATGCCTAAATGCTTTGCTCTACTATCTTCATAGCATCGTATTTATTTTTTTTCTTGTCCCTTTCCCCAACTGAGTGGAAACAACATGGGGACAGGGAATTCATTCATCTTGTTCACTGATATAACTCCTGTGGCTAGATGAACATCAGGCACAAAGTATGTGATCAATAAATATTGATTAAATAAAGGCATGTTTAATATTTGTGTATTATCAAATATATACAAAAATTGTAGACTGCACCTGATGGAAGAACAAAATGGAAAAGAAAGAAGGAGGAAGGAAGGAAGAAAGGGGAGAGAAAGAGAAGGGAAGAAAGAACTGAAGAAAGGAAGGAAGAGAAAAAAGAAACAAAAGAAAGAGAGAAAGAAAGCAAATTGTTAAGGCTTCACATTATCTAATCTCTCCTGACCTAGAATCATGCTACCATAGGATTTATCGCACTAGAACACAGAATACAGAAGGACAGAGACAGATCAGATGGTTCCAAAGACAGGTGATGTATACATTTGATTCACAACCAAACATTATTAAAATAAGCAATTTTCAAATCAATAATTCAAACTAGAAAATTGAAGAACCACATTAGGGGAGGTCATGGGTCAAATACTGAACAGATGAAGGGAGAGACTGGCCTGAAATGTTACTCCTGCTACTCACGTTCACACACTGGAACACTGCTATTCCAAAGGCTTTCCATTCCAGCCAAGACACAGTAACTAGCAGAGCTGCCTTTTAATTGAAATCTAAAGAAGAAAATAGGAGTGAATAGTGTGAGCTGTTTCAGCCAAGAGAACCCTTAGTTCACAATCTAAGGCCCAGCCCCAATTTCAGGATTATTAGGACCTTAGGCCAGCAGGTGGCAGAGTTGCACAGGCTACCTTATTCTGGAAAAATCACAGCCTCCAGAAGGGAACAATATAGAATGGCAAAATGCAGTAGCTTGGTCACATGATAGTCCTGCTTGAACTGAAAAAGGTGGTCATGACATAGGCGCCATCCCCTTGACCCAGGACCCAGGCTTGGAGTTTCACTGATTACTCCATGATAACCTGATAAATCACTCATTGTTGTTATTAGAAACCCAGTCTTCTAATGTAATGCCTTCCTAACTCTGACCCTGGAACAGCAAGTAAAACAGCTCCCAGTTTGGAGTGGAAAAGTGGGAAATAGCTGGCGAGAGAACAGACTGTCCTTTCATCTCCACATCTGTGATGGCGTGAAGAAGGCTCAAAAGGGCAATTTGGGCTGCTGAAGAGTAAGCATGAATATTCTAGGGGAAAAAGGAAAGAAGAGAGGACTTATTTTTTGCATGCAATTGTCGAAAATTCTCAATGTCTGCTGGACCCCGATGCCCTCCTAACTCTTACTGGGTGCTGGCATTTGGAGGCTGCCAAGATTCTGTGTTACATTTTGGGATCAGGTGCTTTGTTGCCCATGCCGGTCAGCTCCCGTGTAGAGATGTGCACCCTGCGAAGAGCACTAGGTGGACATAAACAAGGTAATGAGCTTGCTGGAAATATTAACAGCAGCCATCAGGACCCCAGCTCAGAGCCCAGAGCCCATGATTAACCAGATGATATATGGCTGGATTTTTTTAAAAAATGCTGATTTTTACATTTTCAGTCCTATTACAAATTTCACTGTTGACGATTTAAAGAATTTACTGAAATGATTCACAAATGATCCTAGCTTTTTATAATAAGCTTTTGTTACTTCCAGTTTTTTCCTGGGACTCTCTAAATTACTCATATTCCTTTTTGCTTGTAAAATATGATTTTTTTTCCTGAGATGGAGTTTCACTCTTATTGTCCACGCTGGAGTGCAATGGTGCCATCTCGGCTCACTGCAAACTCCACCTCCCAGGTTCAAGTGATTCTGGTGCCTCAGCCTCCGGAATAGCTGGGATTACAGGCACATGCCACCACACCCAGCTAACTTTTGTATTTTTAGTAGAGACAGGGTTTCATCATGTTGTCCAGGCTGGTCTCCAACTCCTGACCTCAGGTGATCTGCCCGCCTCAACCTCCCAAAGGTGCTAGGATTACAGGGGTGAGCCACCGTTTCTGGCTGATATTTTTTGCTTAATGTGTTACTTATATATTCATAACCAGTAGTTATACTTGCCTTTGAACTTGCCAGTTAATATATGTTCCAGTTTCCTCTTCATATCTCATGTTATTAGTTCTATATGTTTCTTTCCTTTCTTCCTAGGTATACTTTCGAAAGTTCATCTCTCTGAAGGTGTGTGTGTGTGTGCCACACCAAATCTCCCCTTTTTAGACTGATTCCCAACCCCAATTTCAATGTCCAGCAGGTCAGGCAAGCTCATACTCACCCTTCATCACAAACAAAATCCACTTTTGCTCCAAGCTGGAGATTTACTGGAAATAGCACACGGCCATTAAGAAGTTGGCCCATGAAGTCATCACAGGATTTCACTGGAGATAAAGAAAAACGAACAGAAATCACTGGCATGTGGAGAATAAAGACGCAAGCTAAAAATATCAAGCCAGATAAGAGTCTAGTCACCTTCACATGTGGGGGCTGCAGGGCTCCAGTCTCCCTGGGGTGTGCAGCGCATAGACGCAGCCCCTCTGAGGTCGTAGCCGGGCTCACAGCTGTAGAACACTTCCTGCCCAGGTGAAAAGTTGTCCTTGTCCCTTTGGGTACGCTCAGCATGCAGGACATCTGGAGGTGGCTGACATACTGGGGAGAGAGAAACAAAGTACAGCTAATTGTGTGAAAACAACTTTTTTCTCACTGTTAAACTGGCCAAGGGAATAATAATTACAAATCTATATATAATAATAAAGTTAGAATAACAGCCTTATTACATTGATAAACTAAATACACAGGGCAAGGAAGATGTCTTGCCATCAGTCATAGAACTGACACGTGGCACAACTGTGACTAAAACAGAGGTATCTCCAATTCATTGTTTTTCATCTAAAGTATGCAACTAAGATTTCACAATGGACAGTTCCTTCTAGAATGCTTCCAATTACTGTTCACCCAGTACAAAATTGGGAGGAATGATGGATTTTCGTATCTTCATACTTCCTTTCTAGAAAGGCATCACCAATTTAGTCTTGCATTTTAAGCAATAAAGGAGTGCCCCTGCCCATGTCTCATCTAATAGGTCCCTCCATCACCTATCACACTGGTGCAACAAAGAGCGTCCATACATCTATGCTCATCTCCTTTCAAGTCTTCTCTCAGCGGCCACCTGACATAGGATGGTAAAGAACTATGGGTCTCCTCTCCTCATGCTATGTAGCAAGGTGCTGCCTAGTCATTCATTTCACTTCAGTGAGAAGGTGGGAAACTGTCGAACAAAATCTGAAAGACCTACTGTCACCATGATGAGAGTGTATATTTACGCAACATATTGTAAGGGCAGCGCTGGCTCTCTCTTAATATAGTTGATTGGAACTCAGGAAATCAGAACACATTTGGATCTCAACTAAATTACATAAAACTGTTATAAAATGGAAAAAATAATTTCGGTTTGTCTTTGAGCAGATCAGTTCCCTTTTCTGGACTTCAGCTTTCTCAAGCATCAAATGGGGGATTGGAATAGAAAAATGACTTCTTTAGGGAGTTTGTAAATACTCTGATGCTGTAATGTCCATTTTCAGGGCTCATCACCCAGTGTTTCCCTGGACTAATCAATGCCTGGTGATGTAATATTGAGGTGCTGTGCTGGTTAAATTTCTGTTGGCCCCCAGCCTCACACTTCTGCACTGTCTTTTGACAGCTAGCAAAGGAAGCCTTAAAACTACAATTGTTCATCTTCCTTGATAGCTGGGCTCTGGTTAGGTTCTGCCAATTGGAGGCATATATACCAAATTAAAAAGCAGGATGATGGCAGAATCTGTTCTACTTCTAGAAGTGGCTCAGGCAGTGGCAGTATAGATGGCTTCAGTGAGTAGCTACAGCTTCAATTGTAACGATGCCAATGACTTTGGCTCCAGCAATATCAGCTGCATTCTGGCAGCAGTGGTGGCTCCTGCAGCACTAGCAGCTTACAGGGAGCTGCCTGCTCAGTGGGAGGGGCTGGCCATTTCACCATCACTCCAGGCTCCTGTGCTGTAGACTGGGAGCCACAGCAGCTCCCTGATCTCTCGTAACTTTGCCTTTGTCCTATTGCTTTTCCTGCCCTTCTAACATTTTTGTGACCTATTAGCTGCGATATGATTTGGCTCTATGTCCCCTCCCAAATCTCATGTCAAATGGTAATTCCCAGTGTTGGAGAAGGAGCCTGGTGGGAAGTGACTGGATCATGGAGGTGGTTTCTTATGGTTGAGCACCATCACCCTAGTGCTGTCTTGTGATAGAGTTCTCTCGAGATCTGCTTGTTCCAAAGTGTGTAGCACCTCTGCCTTGCTCTCTCTCTCTCTCCTGCCAAGCATATGAAGATATGCGTGCTTCCTCTTTACCTTCCACCATGATTGTAACTTTCCTGAGGGGTCCCTAGCCATGCCTCCTGTACAGCCTACAGAACTCTGAGTCAAGTAAGCATCTTTTCTTTATAAATTACCCAGGCTCAAGTAGTTTTTTATAGGAATGTGAGAACAGACTAATACAACCTGCATGAAATCCCTCCCTCCTTGAAAGTATCTAGAGTAAGTTTTGATTTCATGACTGAATGCTGATGAGCAAAGCCAAGGCTCTGGAGTGAGGTGGACTTGCAATCCAGTTTTGTCTGCAAGTTACTGTCTCAGAATGTTATCTGATGTGTCTAAGGCACATATTCTCTATAAAACATAGAGGCCGGGCACGGTGGCTCATGCCTATAATCCCAGCACTTTGGGAGGCCAAGGTGGGTGAATTGCTTGAGCTGAGGAGTTCGAGACCAGCCTGGGCAACATGGTGAGACTCTATCCCTACAAAAAATATATAAAAAACTTATCCAGGCATGGTGGCATGCACCTATATTCCCAGCTACTTGGGAGGCTCAGGCAGGAGACTTGCTTGAGCCAGAGAGGCGGAGGTTGAAGTAAGTCATGATGGCACCACAGCAGTTCAACGTGAGTGACAGATCAAGACAGTATCTCAAGCAAAACAATACAGACAAACATAGAACAACTGGTAACTACCTAATAACTTTGTTTTAAGGATTAAAATTCACATGTAGCCTGTATTATAGTGCCCGGCCAGAGGAATCACTCATTTTGTATCAACCATTATTATACTCAAAGGTAATTGATAGATCTGTTTATAAGAACCCCAAAGAAACATCATATCCCTTGCCCAGGTTGAGCTTTGCTTCGCAATTTCAGCACATGTGCATGTACACACACCTTCTGAATTTCATGTTCACTACCTAGAAAATTTGCTCCTCGACCCTGCTCAGCACACATCCCTCCCCCTGAACAAATACTAATCTCCTGATCCAACAGCAACGCATGTCACTGGCAGGGCCCTTCTAGGCCTCAGTCAGACTCACCCCTGGAGCAGCTTGGTAGCTCCGGCTCCCATTTGTTCAGGGCCTGGCACTTCACACGGCGGGGTCCTTTCATGACAAAGCCAGGCTGACACCTAAACTCCACAACTTCATTTAAGGAAAATAAGCTTCTGTTGTCAGATACCAATATTCCATTTTCCACATTTGGAGGCGTGCATTTGTTAGGTATAATGCACTGAGGGGCGGGGCCGCTCCAGATGCCCACTTGATCGTCATTGCTGGTGCAGTATATGGAGGGCTCACCCACAAGCTCAAACACCTTTCTCCCTCCGCTTCCAGGATTGCAGCGGTAGGTCACCACTGATCCATAGTGAAAATTCTCTCTGTTGGTGCTAATGAAATCTCCATTGGTGATGGTGGGGGGTAGCCCACAAGGAATTCCTGGAAAAAGGAAGAGCAGGATAAATAACAGTCAGTTTAAATAATGAATGACAGAAATCTCATGAGTCACTAAACTATAGCTATTTTTACATTCATTATTTGCTTTTAATCTTTGCTAACACATAGGTACATTTTTATAAAGTTGTAGCTTCAATGGGCATAATATGATGTGTCCTGCCTTTCTTACTGATATGATTTCCTATAGTATTTGCATGCATGTATTAACTCAATCCACATTCTTTTCATTTTAAATAGCTCTTTGATCATAGTGTTATAGTATTTATACAGTTTTCTCCTACTCTTTTCCGTTTGCTTTCTTAATTTCCATTTTTGTTATTAACCAAGGTTAGCTTTTTTAGAAAAATAAAATACAAAAACATTTGCTAAAAGATAAAGTATAAGGGATGAGAGAAAACACAAATATACACAGTAGGAAAAAGAATTTAAACATATTTTTATGTATATGAGAATATTTATAAAACTGTAGACTACAGGGGGTTAAATATTTTGAAAATCTAAATGATATAAATGGAAATACAAATTACCAAAATTCATTCAAAAATATACTTCCAAATGTAATTTCAAGGTTTCACAACATATAAAAGATATGAAGCTTACCAACTCATTTCATCAAATCTAAGTTTGATATCATAAGATGATATCTGTGTAAAAGTGATCATATATTAGTCCACAAAAACCCCTAAATACATTTTAAAGTATAGCAGTAGTACATAGTATACTGTGTTGCTATAAACTAGAACAAAATTTCTTCAACCCAAATCCCAAAACACTTGAAATTAAAACTGAGTGAATTTAATTGGATAAATTTAGAAATGAATGAATTAAAATTAAAAATAAAAATTTTTCAGGCTCTGCTTCTACTAATAGTAATCTCAACAGTTCAAATAAAATATTGCTCCAACCATCCACCCTCAAGAAAGGCTAGAAATACTGGAGAATTAAAAATATTTATCTGTTAAAGCATCAGAAAGCTAACAAACTAGTGAAGCATTCCTGGGCCATGATCTAGGAGAAGATGAGAATCCAGTTGAGAGCTGGGTATTTGGGCTTGGCAACTGGGCTGCTTATTGTTTGGGAATGGGCAGCTGAATCAGGACGGGGCAACTGAGAGGCTGAACAGACTTTTGATTTTCTCATGAAGTTAAGGGACAACAATGGAAGTCCAGGGCCTGCCCCAAATGGAAGGCCTGGTAATACCTTCTGATGTGTTCTGAGGCCACAAGAACTAGGCCCTGGTAATCAGGGTTAACTGAAAATAAATTTGCTGTCTCAGAGACTGGAACTAGTACTTCAAGTACTGGTACTGTGGGTGGCCCTGGAAAATCACAGTTCCTGAGACTGAATTAGAGTGGTCCTAGATTGCTAATGTCCCCAGATGCCTGCAGAAACAATGACAAAAATTCCATCTGGAAGAAGATGGGTTATCTAAGGCCTTGAAATTATTTCTACAGACACAGTTTTCAAATAGAATTCCTGATACACAATCAAAGATAACCAGATATTTGGAGAGATAAAATAACACACACAATTACTGATGACAGAAACTGACCCATTAGAACTACAGACCTGTTCAAGGGTATAATTGAAACTTGTAAGAACTAGAAACTATTAAAAAGAACAGGGTGGGATGTGGTGGCTCACGCCTGTAATTCTAACGCTATGGGAGGCTGAGGAGAGTGGATCGTTTGAGCTCAGGAGTTTGAGACCAGCCTGGGCAACATGGCGAAACCCTGTCTCGACAAAAAAAAAAAAGTATATATACATATATATATATATATATATTATCCAGATGTGTAGGTGTGGTGGTGCACACCTGCATTCCCAGCTACTCAGGTGGCTGAGGTGGGAGAATTGCTTGAGCCTGTGAAGGTTGAGGCTGCAGTGAGCTATGATTATGCTACTGTGCTCCAACCTGGGCAACAAAGTGAGACCCTGTCTCAAAAAAAAAAAAAAAAAAAAAAAAAAGGAAGAGGGCAGATTTGGAAAATAAAAAGTCTAGAATTGTAAAAGTAAAATATGATTGCTGAAATTAAGAATTTGTGTGAGATTAATAGCAGGTTAGACTCTGAAAGAAAATCAATGAACCGGAAGCTAGGACAGAAGAAAATACTCAAAACCAAGCACCAATATATAAAAAGATTAAAAAATACAGACTAAATACATAGAAGAATAAAGCCTAGCATGTTTAACTGAAGTCCCTCGATGAGAAGAGAGAGAGAACTGAGCATAAACAACATTTGAAGAATTAATAACTGAGAATTTTCCAAGACTGATGCAAGACATCATTAAATTACAGGTTCAAAAGGCTATACAGGCCTGGCACGGTGGCTCATGCCTGTAATCCCAGCAGTTTGGGAGGCCGAGGTGGGCAGATCACCTCTTGTCAGGAGTTTGAGACCAGCCTGGTCAACATGGTGAAAACCCATCTCTACTAAAAGGGTAAAAATTAGCCAGGCATGGAGGCACAGGCCTGTAATTGCAGCTACTTGGAAGGCTGAAGTGGGAGGATAACTTGAACCCCGGAGGCGGAGGTTGCAGTGAGCCGAGATATCCCACCACTGCACTCCAGCCCAGGTGATAAGAGTGAAATTCTGTCAAAAAAAAAAAAAAAAAAAAAAAAACAACCAAAAAAAAAAAAATGTGCAAACCCAAGCAATACAAAGAAATTCTTACCTAGACACAACACAATAATATTGTAAAAAATCTGTTTTAAAGTGTAATCCATTTTAAAAGCAGCCAGGAAACATGGACAATAACCTTCAGAGGAACCACACTTAGAAAAATGTTTAAAGAATTTGTTGTCAGAAGCTCTACAATACAAAAATGCCAAAGAGACTTTTTCAGGCTGAAGGAAAATAGTTTCATATAGAATTGACAGAATTGCAATAAGAAGGAAACACACCAGAAAGAGCTCATATGCGGGTATGTTTTCATTTAGGATCTTTATGATAGAGAAAACCTCTTCAGTCATTACAAGAAACACAAGATGGCAGTAAAGATTTTATTACGGGCTGGGGGTATGGCACGCCTGAAGATCACACAGAGGTTGGTCAGCGCGAGGAGACAGACAGAGAGAAGGGGACCCATCAGCCAATGCCTTTATTGGGGACCAGAGTATGACCCAGCATCTTGCATCTACAAGCCAAGGTATCTCCCATGGGGAGTTCTAATTGGTGAGTTTAAAGAAAGCAGGCACATGTTCCAGGCAGTCGTGCTGCGACTGAGAGGTGGTCACGGCAGCATATCTGCGAAGTCCATGCAGGGCACAGAGGTCAGGGACGCTAGTCAAGTAGGTTTTATCTAGCTGTCCCATAGAGAGGTGGTCACCAGGAGGCAGTTGTATAAGGCAGATATCTGGCTCGACCACGTTGCAAAATTGGGAGGAGGTACAGAACTAGAAAGGGCATTAAGGGTGACTAAGCCCTGCTTCTGGCATGAGAAAGCTAAACATATTCTAAATGGATGCTGAGGCAACATAAAAATTCTAAGAATTCACTAAGGTGTAAATATAAATAAATACTGTTTTTATAAAGACAACAGTGTCTTTGAAATATAGAATATATGTAAATCGTTAAATCAAGTTTAGCCTAAAGCCTTACGTAGTTTAAGCTCAGCCTAAAGGTTTCTCTGTAAACTGCAAACTATAACAAGTGAAGATGTAAACAGACCGCAGACTACTCTTACGCCAATCACCGAGTTTTGGCCAATCAAATGTGGCCAACTGTTTGAACTGTTTTCAAATAAGGCAAACGCTGAGCTATAACCAATCGGCTGTTTCTGTACCTCACTTCTGTTTTCTGTACGTCAGTTTCCTTTTTCTGTCGGTAAATCCTCTTCCCCCATTGCAGCTGGGCTGGAGTCTCTGCGCTTACTTTGGCTCGGGAGGCTGCCTGATTTGCGAATCGTTCATTGCTCAATTAAACTCTTTTAAATTTAATTCAGCTGAAGCTTTTCTTTTTGCAAAACGTATGGCAACAATACAAAAAGAGGGGGAGGACATAAATGGAATTAACTATTAATAGTTTCGGTACTTGCGTTGTTTGGAGAGTGGTAAAAGTACAATTTTAGCAGACTATAGTAAATCAAGGATGTCTATCTCTAGAGTAGTCATTTAAGAATAAAAAATGGAATATAACTTAAAAGCTACTGGGGAAATAGAATAATAAAAATACTTGATGAATTAAAAAATGTGAGAAATGAGGAATAAAGGAACAAACACATGAAACAAATACCAAGACTTAGACTTTATATCAGTAACTATATTAAATTTATTTATTTTTAATTTTTATTATTAAATTTTAATGTTCCAAACACACCAATGAACAACTAAGACTGAATAAAACAACAAAACCTTACTATATGATGTTTATAAGAGACAAGCTTTAAATATAAGACAAAGAAGGGCTGAAAGTAAAAGATTTAAAACACATATAATATAAAAACAATAAAGAAAGCTTATATAGCTGTATTAATATGCAAAGTAGATTTTAAGGTAAGAAGTATTATGAGAGGTAAAGAGAGACATTTCATTATGATAAAATAGTCAATTCAGCAGAAAGAATAAACCAAAAATTTCATGCATTTAATAACATGTTTAAAATACATAAAGTAAAAATTGCTAGAACAAAGAGGAAAGACAGACAAATTCATAGTTGTAGTTGGGGATTGTAATGGGTTGAATAACCACTGTCCTCCTTAAAAAATATCTGTGTCCTGATCTCTGAAACCTGTGAATATGACCCAGTTTGGAGAGTCTTTGTAGATACAATCACGTTAATGATCTCGAGCTGTGACCATTCTGGATTGCCAGGGTGGCCTCTAAATCCATGTCCAGTGTCTTTATAGGAGACAGAAGAGCAAAGGACACACACAGAGGAGAAGGCGATGAGAAGATGGAGACAGAGAAGGAAATGATGCATCTACAAGCCAAGGAACATCAACGATTGCCAGCAGCCACTGGAAGGAAGCCTGGAGAGAGGCACAGAACAGCTTGCAGATGGAACCAATCCTATTGACATCTTAACTGGATTTCTGGCCTCCAAACTGTTAAGAGAGTAAATTTCTCTTCTTTGAAGCCACTAAGTTTGTGGTAATTTGTTACAGCAGCCCTGGGAAACTAATACAGATATTTTACACATGCTTCTCCATAACTGAGAGAACAAGTGGAGGGGGAAAAAAAGACTGTTCTAAACCACATTTTCCTAAATGACATTTCTAGAAAATGAAGCAAAATAACTGTACATTCAAGTGCATATGTAACATTTTACCAAAATCGTCCATATTCTGGGCAATAAACCATGTCTCAAATGATTAAATTAATGAAAGAATGATAACTAGAAGATCTCTAAATATTTAGAAATTAAGCAATGCCCTTCTAAACAGCCTATGGGTCAGAGGAGATATTAAAAGTGAAATTAGAAAGCTTTTATGTACAATGATAATAAAAATATAAAGATTGTTGGAAATAAATAAAACAGTTTTAGAGAAAAATTGATAGGTTAAATGTACATATTAGAAAAATAAAGGTTGGAAACAAATTAATTAGTATCAAGAATTTAGGACTGGAGGAATACACAAAGCTTAAAGCAGAAATCAATAAAAGAGAAAATAGTCATAAACTAAAGAAAAAACAAGAAAGTTAAAAGTTGTTTTTCTGAAAAGCTTAGTAAAATTGATAAAGCCCCGGTAAAACTAATCAAGGAAAAAGAAGCAAAAGAAATTACCAATATCAGAAATTAATGAGTGTAAGGGTATCACTACAGAACTTACAGGCATCCAAAGGCTAATATGAGACTATAATAAACAGCATTATGCTGATAACCTAGGAAATCTAAATAAAATGAGTAAATTCCTTGAAAAATATAACTTACCCAAACTAATTCAATAAGATATAAAATAATAGTTTTACAGCTATTAAAGATATTAAATCCTGACAACAACAACAACAAACCCTCAGGTCCAGATTGCTTCACTGCTGAATTCTTCCAAACATATAAGGAAAAATAATGTTACACAAATTGTTCCAGACACTAGAAAAAATAAATAATTTTTAACACATTTTATCAGGCCAACATAATCTTGATGCCCAAACCTGATAAGGACATTAAAATAAAAGCAAATTATAACCCAAGATCTCTTGAGAATATAAATGCAAATTTTCTGAACAAAATATTATGAAACTGAATCCAGCAATATTTCCAAAGGATGATACAATGATCAAAGTGAGGTTTACCTTGACTGATTTTAAATATTAAATCAATGTTACAATGTTACAATAAAAATATGAGCAATCCTGCACACACACACACGCATATCCCCCATACATAGGATAATCATCTATAACACATCACAAGCAACATAGGTTTATTCTAGGAATTCAGCGTTTGTCTTTTAAACATCAATCAATGTAATATATTACATTAACAGAGTGAAAAAGAAACATGATAATCTCAATACATGCAGTGATCAATTAGAAAGAACATTCATAAATCTTTTAGTAATTAGAAAGAAAGGGGAGTTTCCTTAATCTAATAAAGGATATCATGCAAAAATCTACAGCATACATCATGATTTATGAGGACTATTAAAAGCCTTGTATCATGTCTTCTATTCAATATTGTACTGGAGGTTCTAGCCAATGCAATAAAGCAAGAGAAATAAACAAAAGACATAAGAAAGGAAAAGATGTAAAAACTTTGTCAGATTCATAGATGACATAATTACACAGCAAATTCAAAAGAATCTACAGATAAACTATTCAATTTATAAGTAAATTTAACAAATTTGCTGGAGCTGAGATGAAACAGGTGCATATCTAAGAAGTAAATAATTAAAGAATGAAATTTTAAAAATAATATGTCAGAATAAAGATAATGAAATAGGTACATGACTTCTATAATGTACATTAACAAATATTATTAAAAGAAATTAAAGAAGACTTCAAAATGGGAGGATATATCATATTCATAAATTTAAACTTCAAAACTGTAAATTTGTTACTTGTCCACAAATTGATCTACTGAGTCAACAGAAACTTAATACAAATTCAAGTAGGATTCTTTATGTGGAAATTGACAAGCTGATTCTAAATTTTATATGGTAATGCAAAGGGCCAAGAATCACCAAGTAAATCTTGAAGATGCACATAGTTAGGAGATATATGCTACCAGATATCAAATCTTAATGTAATGCTATAGTAATTAAAATCTTAATGTAGTGCTTATAGTATGGCAAATAAACCAGTGAAACAGAACCTCTCTGGAATGAGATCCACTCATAAGGTCACCTGACTTATGGTCATGGTGGTGTCGCATTGCACTATGCAAGGAATAGTCTTTTTAATAGATGATATTAGATCTATTGCCCATCCATAAGAAACAGGGCTTTGTCACCTAGGCTGGAGTGCAGTGGCACCATCATAACTCACTGAAGCCTTGAACCTCTGTGCTCAAGGGATCCTCCCACCTCAGCCTCCCAAGTAGCTGGGACTACAGGCATGTGCCACTGAGCCCAGCTAATTTTATATATTTATTTTTTTTGTAGAGACAGGGTCTCACTCTGCTGCCCAGGCTGGTCTTGAACTCCTGGCTTCAAGCAATCCTCCTGCCTTGGCCTTCCAAAATGCTGGGATTATAGACATGAGCCACCTCACTTGGCCCAATTGCTTAAGTAGAATAGAAAAAGCAGTAACTGGAAAAAAGAAGACTCCTAAATTGAATATTATTAAAATGTAGAACTTTCATAAACAAAAGACATCATTAAGAAGGAAAAAAGAAAAGCCACAGCCTGAAAGACAATATTTGTGTTACATTTATTAGAAAACATGAGAATATTTAAAGAACTTCTACAAAACAATAGACAAACTAATAAATAATAGGCAAAAGTTTGGAATAGCACTTCACAAACGTGAAAAGGTACTCAAGATCATCAATGAAATACAACATAATAATAAAGAAGACCCAACAATCCTTCCTGCAAAAACAAAAATGACTCTTCCAAATATAACATTGAGATGAAGCTGGACACAAAAGAGTATCTATTTTTTGATTCCTTTAATATAAAATTTAGGAAGCAACAAAACTATTAGTGTTATAAATCAGAATAGTGGTTTCTTTGGGAAGATAACTGGGAAAGGGCATCGGGAAGGCTTCTGGGGTGCTGATAATGTTCTATATCTTAATCTGAGTGACGTTTACATGGATACATTTACTTTGTAAAACTCCATTGAACTGCATGATTAAGATGTGTGCATATATACACACTATATATATGTGTATATATATATAGTGTGTATATATGTATACATATACCTATATATGTATACGTATACGTATATACCTATATATGTATATGTATATATACGTATATATATGTATATACCTATATATGTATATGTATATATACGTATATATGTATATACCTATATATGTATATGTATATATACGTATACACGTATATATACGTACGTATGTATATATACGTACATATATACACATATACATACACGTATGCATACGTATATACGTATATATACATATATACATATAAGTATATATGTATATATGTGTGTGTGTGTGTGTGTGTGTGTGTGTGTGTATATATATATATATGTTATACTTCAGCCAAAAGTCTACATGGTACAGGAAAATGGTTGGAAAAAAAAAAACTTCCCAAGAACGTAAACTCCAGGCCACATACCTTTTCTGGTGAATTATTTTTAAAGAAGAAATAATGCCAATCTTATATAAACCCTTACAAGGAAACAAATATATGAAACACTACCAGCTGGCTTTATAAGACTGTCATAGCTTTGATATCAAAATCTTATTAAGGACATTACAAGAAAGAAAATTATAGTCTTATCTCTAAAATATGTTAGGAATGGGATGATGAAAGTGTTCTAGAATTAATTGGCGGTGCTGGTTGCCCAATGTCTTAGTCTATTTGGGCTGCTATAACAAAATACTATAAACTGGTTAGCTTGTACACAACAGAAATTTATTTCTTGTAGTTTTGGAGGCTGGGGAGTTCAAGACCAACACTGGCAGATTCAGCATCTCCTCCCATGGTGGGAGGGCCAAAGGAGCTCTTCCGGGCCTCTTTTATTAGGACGCTAATCCCATTCGTGATGGCTCTGCTCTCATGCCCTAATCATCTTTCAAAGGCCTCACTTCCTAATGTCATCACTTTAGGGGTAAGGATTTCAACATATGGATTTGGGGTGGACTCAAACGTTCAGACCATAACACACAACTTTGTGAATATACTAAACACCACTAAATTGTATAATTTAAAAAGGTAACTTTTATGATACATGAATTATATTTTAATAGAAACATCTAAAATATATCATAAAAGCATATTTGCCATATATAAAAATGATTAAATATTATGACTGAGTTGATTTATTTTAAGAATGTAAAATTGAAATTTAAAATCATTTGCCTTTCAAAAATGTACTCAAAACAATTTGTTGCATTAACAGAAAAAGAGAAACAGATATGATTACATCAATATATGTAACTAAAGTGTTTGATAAACTTCAACATGATTCAAAGACATAAATTTTTTAGCAATGAAGAATATATAAGATAATTTCCTTATTTCAAAAATGGTTATCTACCAAAAGCCTACAGTAAACACCAGCTTAATGGTGAAATGTTTTAAACTTTAACTTTGAGATGTGGAACAAGACAAGGATGACATCTATTGCTACCAATGTTCAATGTTATACTGGTGGTCCTAGCCAGCGTGGTAAAGAAGAAAGAAAATAAGGAAAGAGGGAAGGAAGGAAGGAAGGAAGGAAAGAAGGAAGGAAGGAAGGAAGGGAGGGAGGGAGGGAGGGAGGGAGGGAGGAAAGGAGGGAGGGAGGGAAGGAAAGAAAGAAAAGAAGACAAAGAGTTAAATAAAATTATAATTATTTGGTGGTTTGGCACCATGTCAACCAGGCCAATTTGGAATTAAGTTTTCCAGACTTACTTTCTCTGTACGGTTCTGGACTAGGGTTATAGCATGAGAAATTAGCCTGATATTTGAGAGGCAGAAGTTAAGCAACAGCCATTCCACTCTGAAAGTTGTATCCTTGGATAGAGCTGGTGAGGCACAGTGCAGGAGTAGAGGGTTCAGAAGACAGACCTTTTACCAGAGGCTTGAGAAATACATTCACATGGGGAGTTTCAGCATCCTCTGCAACGGTTCATTCTCTGTAGGCCAGGAATGACAATGGGAACTGTTGCCATTGAACTGGATTCTCTGAATTCACTTGGGGACCAAAGGACCTCAGGGTGGCAGAGTCCCAGTGGCAGCACTTAATTGCCAGAGACAATGGGGGTTCTTGTAATGCATATTTGAGCTGAAACAGCAATCAGAATGATTTGATTGAAGAGGACATTGTTATTGGGCTAATTGATCATGGAGTCTCTAAAACCAAAGTAGACGGATAGCCGACTAAAGTGTTACTTGATTTGTATAAGTGTAAGAGTTTTAGGTCAAGTGAATAGAAGTCTGACTTGAATTATTGCAAAAGAAGTTCATTGTTCATCAACAATTCCTAGACTTGAATAGTTTATAGACCCAGAGCAGCACCAACGGATGGGAGACTGGATTCTCTTGAGGAAGCACCATGCTACACAATCAAAAGCATGTATTGTAAATCTTCCCCTAGCCTTTTCCAAGAAGACTTGAGGCCATTTACCAGGATTTGGATACAGAGAGGTTACAGAAGTAGAAACAGAGATAAAAAATAAATACAGGTATAGGTGTATTATTATATTTTTTGTTTTCTCTATTTTACTAATCTTTTTCATATTTCCAGGAAAATTCCTATTCCAATTCCATGTTTATTACAGATTTCAAATAAGATGGAAGGTTTCCCAATTTGTTTTACAAAATAGCAAAACTGTTTCTTAAAGTGGATAAACAGCAATAAATGTGTGACCAATGTCATTTGTAAACTTAGATTCTGAAGCTCTTAAACTTTCTAGTAAAAGTAACATTTTTAAATACCAAGAAGAAAAGTAAAGGAGTCCAGTTATCCAAAGAGAAGAGTAAGACAAAGATGTTATACACTGTATTTCTCTCAGCCTCAGCCTGGCCCTCACTACATAGGTGTATTATTTTTTAATAAAGTGAGATCTTGCCATATATGCCATTCATCTGATTCTTTTTCCACATAAAATACATCTCTTTCTAGTCATTAAGTGCTTCTTTATGCTGTCATTTTTTATGGCTGAATACCATGCCAGTGTATGGATATACTTATTTTCATTCTGCATAGCTGTTTTATGTTTCTTAGGGAATTCTTTATAATGGTCATTTGAACACATCTTTTTCCTACTAGTAGATTATTTCCAAACCATAGTTTAAAATATTTAGGTTACTCTAACATTTTAACTAATATAAATAATGCTGCAATGAAAAGTTTATACCAAACTACTTTAAAAAGTGTGTGATTATTTCCTAAGTATAAATTTTAAGAAGTAGGTTAAAATATATGTTCACTTCTGAGGTTTATAGTGCATGGGGCCTTTCAAGAGGATGTGTTGATCTCGTGGTACATGAGAGTCCAGGTTCTTCCACAGCTTCGCTAACCTTGAAGAGTATCAATTTTAAAAATCTTTACTGATTTGCCAAGCAAGATGATTATTATACTGGAGGTGGTAGAAACAACATAATTTCACGTTTATTGAAGTAAAATCAAGTTTGAAGGCTTTTATGTATTTAAACTTCTGGAATTAGAAAAGACACATCCCAGGATAAGGAAGAACTTAAAGAAAGAGTTGCCAGGAACCCCATAGGAATATTCGAGAACATTACCGCAGTCTTCAGCCGTGTGAAGGACAGATTGCACAGAAGGAATTCAGTTAAGATTTTTATTATTCCAGAGAAAAATTAGAATGTGTCGGTAAAAGAAATAGGAAGGGATATTTCAACTCACTGTCACAAATAGGTGTTTCATTATCCCAAATGACAGTATCACCTGAGATGATGCATGTGGCAGACGAGGAACCAATGAGTCGGTATCTAGAGGCAAAAAATAAGGAATGTTACATTCTAAAGACACAGGTCAACTACCCAATTAAATTACTACTTCCAGAGATTACACTCTTATAGGATTCAGAGGGACTTTTTACACTCATCAAAGGACTATCTATCACTTTCCCAAGTTTCACATTCTTCTTGGGACTTTTTGACTTTCTTTTTCATACATTCTCAATTGGATGAGCTTTCTCTTCTTTATTACCTTATGACACTTTTTTATGCAAATCTAAGATGAATTGTAGTTTTTCCTATAAATTTCATTTTTTAAAAGATAGCACAAAGTTCTTGAGTGCAGGGAAGCTGTCATATATATACATGTATATGTGTGTATACAGTCCTGTTGTATGTATTTCTTTGCCTTAAAAGTATGGATGCATGGATGCATGGATGGGCTTTTATCAATAAGATTCATTAAAGAAGGCCAAATTAGGCCCTTCACAGTGGCTCACCCCTGTAATTCCAGCACTTTGGGGGGCTGAGGCAAGAGGATTGCTTGAGCTCAGGAGTTCGAGACCAGCCTGGGCAATATAGTGAGAAGCTGTCTGTACAAAAAATTTATAAAAAAGCCAGGCGTGGTGGCACATTCCTGTAGTCCTAGCTACTCAGGAGGCTGAGGCATGAAGATCGCTTGAGTCAGGGAGGTTGAGGCTGCAGTGAGTGCTGATCATGCCACTGCACTCCAGCCTGGGCAACAAAGCAAGACATTGTATCAAAAAAAAAAAAGAAAGTAAAAAGGAAAGAAAGAAAGCAAAGAAGGAAAGAAGGAAAGGAAGGAAGGGAGGGAGGAAGGAAGGAAGGAAGGAAAGAAGGAAGGAAGGAAGGAAGGGGATACATAACTAGAACCAAAGGAAATCCAGGCTGATCAAAAAGAATTGAACACTCATTTTATACTTAAAATACTAAAGTCAGCAATTCTCAATTAGTATGTCTCAAACTGTTCACAGTGTGCCATAAATTTGGAATAATTTATGACATTTATTTTACTTCACGTTAGACTCTCTGTTGTGATAGATGGTTGGGTGAAACTAGTCATAGTGAGGGTAGGGTCAAACTTGATAGTACTATACATGAAGGAATGAAGCAATGTCAAATAACAGTCATGGTTATTGGTATAGCTGAGAACTTTGCTTTATGAGTATGTAAGAAAACCTGGCAACATAAAGCTTTATTCAAACAACAAAACAGTGACAAATGAAGATCAAATAAATAGTGAGAGAACAGTGGGTGCTTTTGAAGATACTTGATGCACTATTACATTATACTAGTGATTATGATGTAATTATTAATGACTTCAATATCATTTGGGATTTTTGTTGTTGCTGTTGTTGTTGTTCTTTTTTTTTGAGACAGATTTTCACTCTTGTCGCCAAGGCTGGAGTGCAATGGTGCGATCTTGGCTCACTGCAACCTCCACCTCCCGGATTCAAGAGATTCTCCTGCCTCAGCCTCCTTAGCTGCTGGGACTACAGGTGCCTGCCACCACACTCGGCTGATTTTTGCATTTTTAGTAGAAACAGGCTTCACCACATTGACCAGGCTGGTCTTGAATTCCTGACTTCAGGTAATCCACCCACCTCAGCCTCCCAAAGTGCTGGGATTACAGCCAGCACACCCGGCCTTATTTTGTTTTTTAATGCCTTCTAGTATACCACCAAAAATGAAATCATTTTCTATTGCACTGCCAACAGACATAAACACAAGTATGAAGTATGTGAACAAATGAAGTGAAGAACAGCTGCAATCCTATATGTGCACCTCCTCCTGCCTGTTTGTCTTAGGAACAAGGGATCCTGGAGGCTCCTCTGGCTTTTGACCCCACTGAGGTTATTTCTCAAAGTGTTCTTTTTGATTTTCTAATCATGGGGGTTGGGATAGGAATGGTGAAGCAAGTTCAAACTTAAGTTGGCATTTTTTTTCCTCCATACTATTGTTCAGTGTTGTAATACTGAACATTTTAAATATGAGTCAAAAGATAACTTTATGTTCACTGATCAAGGGGAACAGATAGAAGAATATTTTAATTTATTAAACTTGTGTCCCAAAGTAGATTAAGCAATTGAACAAATAGTGGTTTGAACACTTCTCATTCAGAATGTTTGGAGGAAGTAAGGCAGAGAGACAAAATCCATGCTACTTATTGTAAGGGGAGCCAGGGAGTCTCATATCCACTTGAACAGATTGAAGCCTTTACATCCTACCCTACCTTTTTGGATCTCCTGGGGAAGAGAGAGTTGTGGATTCACAAAGTTAAGCCATGGTTCAGGAAAAGCCATGATCATTTCGTTTCCAGAAACCACATACAGGATGTGGGTGAACATGTCTAGACTTTTGGGAGTCTCCTCCCCAGGGCCCCGAAGAGGGACAGTGAAGCCTGGGATATTAGTCCCATTTCCATTTTCCTTCTTAATCTATGTGCCTTGAACCAGGTGGATAGGTTAGGAAAAAATGAGAATAAAAAACAAATCCTGTGAATTATTTAGGTTAGCACATTTTCAACCTTAAATAATGAGATTCAGAAAATATATTTAAGGATAGAGTTTATTTGAGCACAAAGGTTAAGGGTAGCCACCTGGAAGAGACCAACTCCAAATGAATGGGGTCAGCACTCCAAAGTGGAGGACATAAGGTATCACTTACATAGGCAGAGACAGAGAAATTTTAGCAGGATTATATTTTCCATATGGGACCATGCATAGTTACAGCATTTTGATTGGTTACAGATTGCTACATTCCAAGGAAGATTACTTTATTGCTCCCTGAAAAGGGGTAGTGATCTGAGGGGAAGCCCATCCCCTTGGAAATTTAGTAGGAACTTTAAAAAAAAAAAAAACTTTTTACTTTGAGATAATCAGATTCACATGCAGGGAATAGTACAGAGAGATCCCAGGTACTATTTACTCAATTTTCCCCTAATAATAACATTTTGCAAAACAATAGTGCAACATCAACATTAAGATATTGAAACAGTTATAATCCACAGATTTTGTTCAAATTTCCTGTTTTACCTGCACTTATTTGTGTGCGTGTCTGTTTATGCACATATGCCCATGTATTTATGTCTATGCAGTTTTAAAAAATAGACTTTGTGTTTTAGCACAGTTTTTGGTTCACAGCAATAATGAACAGAAGATACAGAGATTTCCTATGTACTCCCTGCCCCTATACATGGATAACCTCCCCTATTATAAACATCTTTCACCAGGGTGGTACGTTTTTCGCAATTGAGGAACCTACACTGACACATCATGGCCACCCCAAGTCCATAGTTTATGTTAGGGTCCACTCTTGGTATTGTACACTATATGACTTCGGATAAATTTATTATGACATGTACCTACTGTTATGGCATCATACAGAGTAGTTTCACTACCCTCAAAATCCTCTGTGCTCTTCCGATTCATCCCCTTCTTCCCTAACCCCTGACAACCACTGATATTTTCACTGTCTCCATAGTTTTGCCTTTTCCAGAATGGCATATAGTTGGAATCATATGTTATGTAGCCTTTTCAGATTGGCTTCTTTCACTTAGTGATGGTGAAAAAAGGTTCACTATTTAAGGTTCCTCTATGTCTCTTCATGGCTTGATAGCTCATTTCTTTTTGGTATTGAATAATATTCTATTGTATGGATGTACCACAGTTTATCCATTCCCTTGCTAAAGGACATCTTGATTGCTTCCAAGTTTTGGCAATTATGAATAAAGCTGTTATAAACATCTGTGTGCAGATTTCTTTTTTTTTTGGTGTGAACATGAGTTTTCAATTCCTTTGGATAAATGCCAAGAAGGATAACTGCTGGATAACATGGTAAGAGTATGTTTAGTTTTATAAAAAACTGCCAAATTATCTTTCCAAGTCATGGTACCATTTTGCATTCCTACCAGCAATGAATGAGAATTGTGTCCCCCTTACCCCGAAATATATTGATGTCTTAATCCCCAGTGCTTATTAATGTGATCTTATTTGGAAATATGGTCTTTGGAGAGGCAATCCAGTTAAGATGAGGTCGTTAGTGTGGGCGCTAATCCATTATGATTGGTGTCCTTATTAAAAGAGAGCACTTTCGACACAGCCATACACAGACAGGAAAACAGCATGTGAGGACACAGACCCAGAGGGAAGACGGCCATGTGAGGACAGAGACAGAAACGGGAGTTCTGCTGCCACACGCCAAGGAAGGCCTGGGGCTCCAGAAGCTGGAAGAAGCAAAGAAGGATCCATCCTTACAGGTTTTAGAGGGGAGCATGGCTCTGCCAACACCTTGATTTTGCACTTTCAGCCTCCGGAACAGAATTTTAAAAACTTCATTTGTGTTAAGCCACCCGTTTTGGAGTACTCTGTTACAGCAGCCCTAGCAAACTACTTGTGCTATGACCGTTAAGATTTCTCTCACACAGTTACTCAATGGCCTTCCCTTTCTTCCAGCAATGTCCCCTCTGCGTTAAGGCTGTTTGTGTGCTTTGACTATACTCTTCCCCCATTTTCTTCCTTCCCACCCAATGAATGCCACACTTTTCATATATGCTCTGCCTTGGTTTCCAGCAAGGATACAGATGATTTTCCCCCGATCTTGTCATACCTTTGCTCATTTCAGTCAGGAGCTAAACATCTGTGTTGAAGCCGTTAAAGAGCAGATGGTAATAGTTTAGTTGTCCTTTCTGACATGTGACTAGAAGGTAGTAAGGCTGTGTTAGAACTCTTGAACCAAGAGATGTTGGTTCAAGAGATGCCAACTCACCCTTTAGTACAAGAATATTTAATTTGGGATCCGAACTGGATGCCTTTGATCACATGCACCATGCCATTCACAGGATCTGGAGGATTACGACATGATTTACCTACAGGAAAGAAACAGAATTTTGGAGCCAAGTAGAGTAAACTAAAAACTTTTTTTAGTACATAAGGTCTCAACCTGCCTGTAGCTTACTGAGGAACACACGCAGTTCTGATGGTTCCACAGATTTTGCTACCTTGAGGAAACTCACCAGACTGCCTCAGGATCAGCTCCCTTTCAAAAAAAACTTTCCTTTCAGATCTGTTTCATCCCCATATTATGCCTCCCAGAAAAATGTAAACTTTGTTATTATCTGTAATTCAATTCAACTGGTATAATCCAAAGATCTCAAAGCCCAAGATTGTCACATCTTTTAGTTATTTAATCCACTTCTCTTTCTTGTCCCAAGTCATTCATTACTTAATTTTAGTCATGAAAATGGGAGACCCCCAGTGAATGGGGATTTTCCCTCAATCATGTCCTGCAATGACTGTTTCTCATGAAATAAACTTTTAATGAAGGCGCCAGGAACTCAAAGCAGTAACAAGGTATGATCTACAAGAATAATTCTCATATGTATTGCACCTTGGCAAACTAATTGTCATATGCAACTCAGTTACAAAATTTGAACAAATTGAATCAGATCTTACAGATGTTTGACTAACAGGGGGGTTCCCACTCCAGAGTTACTTACGTCTGCACCTGTCCTTAGCACCAGTCCAGACTGAGTTTTTTAGGCAGATGATAGAAAACGGTCTTCCGGAATAACCAGGGCGGCATTCATAGTTCAGATATGTCCCAATGGGAAACTCAAATTCATCAGTTAGGTTGGTAGGCCTGGCAAATGGAAGCCATTCTGGGGCATTGCATTGACCTGGAGATCAAGACCATAGAAGCATCAAAGTTAATGGAGAAATTACCATACTTTTTTTTTTCTTTTTTGAGACGGAGACTGGCTCCATCACCCAGGCTGGAGTGCAGTGGCGCTATCTTGGCTCACTGCAACCTCCGCCTCTTGGGTTCAAGCAATTGTCCTTACCTCAGCTTCCTGAGTAGCTGGGATTACAGGTGCCCACCACCACACCTGGCTAATTTTCGTATTTTTAGTAGAGATGGGGTTTTACCATGTTGGCCAGGCTGGTCTCGACTCCTGACCTCAGGTCATCTACCCACTTTGGCCTCCCAAAGTGTTGGGATTACAGGAGTGAGCCACCGTGACCCTGTTGAAATTCCCATTCTACCTTCTCTTTCTCTCCAATATACTTCATAGATGTGATCAAAAAAGAAAAAGAACACTTCAATAATAGCCAAGGGGTGCAGGAGTGGTGGCTCATGCCTGTAATTTCAGCACTTTCAGAGGCCAAGGTGGGTGGATCACTTGAGGTCAGGAGTTTGAGACCAGGCTGGCCAACATGGTGAAACACTGCCTCTCCCAAAATACAAAAAGTTAGCAGAGCATGATTGCACTTGCCTGTACACATGCCTGTGCACAGCTACTTGGGAGGCTGAGGCAGGAGAATTGCTTGAACCCAGGAGGCAGATGTTGCAGTGAGCCAAGACTGTGCCACTGCACTCCAGCCTGGGTGACAGAGCAAGATTCCATCTTAATAAAAATAATAATAGCAAAGGGACTTATTCCTTTACAACAGTAGTCCCTTTTTAGCACCTGGGACTGGTTTTGTGGAAGACAATTTTTCCGTGAATGGAGGGTGCAGGGAAATGGTTTTGAGATGGAACTGTTCCACTCAGATCATCAGTCATTAGATTCTCATAGGGAGCATGCAACCTAGATCCCTCATATGCACAGTTCACAATAGGGTTTCTGCTCCTATGAGAATCTAATGCTGCCACTAATCTGACAGGAGGTGGAGCTCAGGCAGTAATGCTTGGCTGCTCACCTCCTACTGTTCTGCCCATTTCCTAACAGGCCACTGGACAGTATCAGTCTATGGCCCAGGGGTTGAGGACCCCTGCTTTAAAAGATGCCTCAGAAATGGGCTCCTTTTTAAAAAATCAGCATCCATCCATTCAAAAAGTCTCTGCCAGTTTGAAGGCAACTAAGCTATTTATATCATCTTTCACTAAAGGATAAGGTGCATTTCACAGCTTCAAAATTTAGTTAATCAGTAAGTGCCTGTGCTGTGGCTTCCTCTCTCCTATCATCATGTATAATTCTTTCTTGTAACAAGGTCAGTGAATCCAATCTGTTAATATTTATTCAAATCTTCTAGATACTTTACTGATTTTGGGGGGAGTACTTGTCTTACTAGATAATGAGTTGTGTTAAAATATTTTATTTATTGTACATTTGTCTATTTCTTTTTATAATGTTGTCCATCTTTTATTTTATATATTTTGAGGTTATTAGGATTATAAAAATTTAAATTGCTATATTTTATGGTAGAGCAACCTTCTTTATTATAATAAAATATCTCTGCCTCTAGAAATGAATCTTGCCTAAAATTCTACTTTGTTTACTTTATTTGTGGGACAAATAAAACACAAATAACATGGGAGATTTACTCCCCAGTATATAAATGCTTATTTTGAATATACAGTAGTCACCCACTTATCTTTGGGGGACATGTTCCAAGACATTAGCCGATACCCAAAACCTCAGATAGTACCAAACCTGACAGCTGTCAATTAGAACACATTTCTGTTCACCTCTTCCGCCCACAAATTTAATGCCTTTCCCCTCTTAGCTAAGCACTTAGCATGCACTGTGGTTGTAACTTTTGCAGTTTGAAGTGTGACAGCAAAACTAGCACAAATTTATTTTTCCTTCTTCACAATTTCATCGATAGAAGATTCCTTCTTACCTTAGGTCTTAGCAACTTCAACATACAATGTTTTTCTTTCCTTATTAAGTGGACAACTTTCACCTTTTCACTTAAAGGAAGCACTTGCTACTAAACCGGACCCTAATGGTAATGAACTCCCTTATTAGGCTCAGCTAAAATTTTGAGAATCTATATGGAAAGGTGTGGTAGGCTAAGTAAGGACCTCTCAGAGATATCCATGTTCTGATCCCTGAAGCCTGTGATTGTTACCTGTAATGGTTAAAGGGCTTTGCAGATGTGATTAAGAATCTTGAGATGGGCAGATTATCCTGGGTTATCTAGGTGGACCTTAAATGTGATCACAAGGGTCCTTATAAAAGGGAGGCAAGAGGGTGAAAGGAGACAGAAGAAGGATATTCAGAGACACTATGGTGCTGGTTTGGAAGGTAGAGGAAGGAGGCCAAGAGCCAAAGGACGGAAGCAGCCCCTGGAAGCTGGAAAGAGCAAGAAAACCCCTGCTCCCCTGGAGCCTCCACAAGGAACACAGCCCTATGGATCTATTTTAGACGTCAGCCTCCAGAACTGGAAGAGAATACATTTCTGTTGTCTTAAGCCACTAAGTTTGTGGAAATTTGTTACAGCAGCAATAGGAAATTAATACAAAAAGAGAATGGTATATAGTATTAAAAATGTTGGGTTCATAGATTGAATCTTGAACCCAATGTCTTCTACTTAGTGGCTATGAGGTCTTAGGCAAACCGCTTAATCTTGCTGAGCCTCAGTTTCATCTTCATAAAGGGAATAATATTTTCCTACCAGGTTTGCAGGGAGAATCAAAAGTAGTATATGCTGCCACATACACAGAAGGCACTTCATAAATTATACTTACGATTATTACCCTTAGAAAAGGGTAAGGGGACTTCTAAGAGTTAAATTCGATTATTCCGCTAAAGTGGGAGTGCTTGCTTTGCTTCCAAGAGTTCATTTTCTGCTCCTTTGCAGAACTAGCTTGGAATGAGCCTATGCTGTCGGGAATGCACTGGATGACCTCAGTGACTGGTGACCTCAGCTCTCCTGAGTGAATGTGCCCCGGATTCAGCCTGGGACTTCTCATCTGCATCTCATGAGCTCCATCATAGTGCCCACGGGACCCCGGACAGAGAGGAGAATTCCTAAGGTTGCCTTTTCCCTGTTGTCAATGGCTTTAGTCAGAATTGGAAGCCTAACTCTGTGCTTTCTACTGAAGCAAAGGATGATGCTCCAAGAAAGCTCATATTTCTTACTTATTTTTCCCAGACAGCCTGTATCCATCATCACACATTTGCTTTATTAAGCCAGCAGTTGTTAAGCAAGGAAGCCCTTGTCTATGTTCCCTGCCTCATCTTGTGCCACTTGGTCCCCTCACCAAGGTGTGGCCCTTTCCCCTTTTTCAGTTTCCCAAAGACACACATTTTTCCCGTCTATGACATTCCTTCTATGTGACGCAATTTTATCTTCACTCTGACTTCAATTCTTCCTTCAGGCATCTGCTAAAATGTCACTTTCTTATAGAAGCCTTCCCCAGCCTGCCTATGGCCATACCACCCTGAACACACCCAATCTCATCTGAAGCCTTCCCTGACCCTCTTAGGGATTTGGAATCTAAACTACTTCCCTCTGCCCCACCCTATAATAATTTCTAGTCCGACACTTTGCTTTTCCTTTCATATCAATAATTGTTTGTTATTACAATTTGTGCTTTTTATCTTTGTGTGCTTTTAGAAGTATCTATTTCTCTCAATAGATATTAGATATGCATAATTTAAAGGCAAGAGATGATGTGTTTTTTTGTACCTCTAAATTAATACTTAGTCCTGGTGCTTAACACTCAATTATAAGAACTCAATGCATATTTGTTGCAATGAACAAAAAATGAAGAATTACTTATAAAACTCAAAAAAATCAAGAATCCAAGCTATGTCCCCCAAATCTCTGATTTAGTGGGTCTAGGTTAGGGCCCAGGAGTCTATTTTTAAAAATTTTCACAGCTGATTTTGATAGATAACAGCACTTTGAGGATACTGTAAAAAAAAAAAACACTGAGTAAAACAGTTGCTGTTATTTTCAGTGTTATGCATTCACCTTTCCTCTAGTTGATATGTGGGATGAAATACAATTTTGATATTTGTCTTATCCATTGATGCCGGACAAAGGAAGAGATTCCATGTGAAGTGCCTAGCGCCAAAAGCTGTATTGAGAGAGGGTAAATGTCACAGCAAAGCTTGCAACGAGAGGAAGGAATGAGACCTAAAGTAACAAAGCAAATTGAATGAACCATTCTTGGAAAGAAGTTCCTTCCCCTTAATTACATAATATTCTTACCTGCATAGTAGTATATGAATAGTATAGGTAATTATAAAAAGCAAAGTTGTATAATAGCTCAAAAAAGGAATATATGAGCCTTCAACAAAGAAAGCTTGATGTAGTTTCCTTTCTCTCCTTTATTACCAATCCCTCAATTGTGACTAGTTCCTATGACAAATATATTAATATAAAATCCACAAACTGAAGACCTACCATAATTTTAAAAGTTTTTATAGCTTTATCAAGATATATTACATACAATGATTGATGAGTATTTGAAGTGTACAATTCGATTACTTATAACATATGTATGCGTTGTGAAACCATCACCAAAATGAAGACAATAAACGTTTCCATCATACATCCCACCCACACAGAGTTCCCTCATGCCCTTCTGTAATCCATCCAAACATCCACTTCCTTCTCTAGGCAACCTTCAATGTGTTTTCTCTTACTACAGATTGATCTGACTTTCTAAAATTTCATATAACCCGAATCACTTCGTTTATATCCTATCATATAAAGGAAATAACTCAGGTGGTTTTCTCTTACTACAGATTGATTTGACTTTCTAAAATTTCATATAACCTAAATCACTTCATTTATATCCTATTGTATAAAGGAAATCACTCAGGTTTTTTTTTATGGTTTAGCCTTCACACAGCATAATTAGAGATCCATCTAGGTTGCTGCATGTATACAAATTGTTTCCTTTAGTTGCTGGGTAATATTCAATTGCATAAATATATCTTAATTTAGTTTATCCATTTACTTGTTGAGGGACATTTGGATTGTTTCCACGTGTTGGCTATTACAAACAAAACTGCTATGAAAATTCATGTACAAGTCTTTGTGTGGACATATGATTTCATTTCTCTTGGGTAAAAACCTAAGAGTAAAATGTTGAGTGTGTGTCTAAGGTTTTAAGAATCTGTTGAACTATTTTCTAAAGTTAATGTTATAATTTTACCTGCCAAATAGCAGTATATTATAATTCCAGTTACTCCACCTTATCGCCAACACTTGGCTCGGTCAATCTTTTTCATTTTAGTCATTCTAGTGGGTATGTATTGTTATCTCATTTCGGGTTTTGTCTTGTATGACTCAGCCCACTTTCACATTCTCCTGGTTCAGATATTCCATTCAAAGCAAGTTGATGTATTCTGTGCTATATGCACAATTAACACATCATCACTTTCATGTCTGTTGCAATATGAGCTGTCAACCCAAAGAACACTCTGCTTTCCATTCTGCATACTTACCCTTTAAGGAATAGATTTGCACTTGCTTTGCTTAGGCACCTCTATCAGTTTAAAAAAAGAGCATGCCCTTTCAAATATATAAATTTATAAATTATATATGTACACGAACATAAATTATATGCCTCAATATAAATTTTTGAAATGTAACACAGATAAAATAAATATTTTAAATGCTTTGTTAATCATCATGACTTAGCACAATCATTAGCTAACATCTAACGGGACAAAAAACAGTCACATTGAGTCTCTCTGTTCACAATAGTGAATGTAAAGCTTATTTCGACAGTCTTCATGATACTTTCTAGGTTTTTTGGTTTCATCGAGTTGTGATCAGTTGTGATTAGACTGACAGCATTTCTTCTACTTAATGCCTCTGACAAAAAATGTGTATACATGTGTCTTTGCGGAGAGGGTGAGAGGGATTGTCAACTCTACCATTTTCTTGTTTTCTGGAGTTGGTTTTATTACTGGGATCTTCACCCAGCATTTCTGTGTAGGACACTTTTGATGTTACCTGTCCAAATGTGAAGCTTATTTTAGATTAAAATAGATAATATAAATCACACATCCACTCATCTGAGCATATGTAAACCAAAATACACCACAAAGCACAGAAAGCAAATTGGAACTTCCCTTCTATCTTGCACCTTTACCTAGCAGGGATAACCAAACCAGATCCTATATGAGGACCACGTGAGGGCGCCAGAGTCCACCCTATATTAAACACTGCCTGGTAAAGCTTAATTCGTGTACTATTTTATGGCTCAGAATGTGGTCTATCCCCATGAATGTAAGCGGGAGAATATGTGCTCTGCTGTTGTGGATGAAGTCATCTATATATGTCAATTATACCCAAGTGGATTGATGGTGCTGTTGAATTCAAGTATGTCCTTACGGATTTTCTGCCTGCTGAATCTGCCCATTTCTGATAAGGAGACTTCAGCACCTTTTCTGATATCAGAAAGATATCATAGAAGTCTCCAACTATGATAGTAAATCCATCTATTTCTCCTTGCAGTTCTATGGGTTTTGCCTCACGTATTTTGTCTCTCCATCAGGTGCATACATATGGGATATTGTTACGTCTTCTTGGATAATTGGCCCCTTTATCATTATATGATGCCCCTCTTTATCCCTAATAATTTTTCTTGGTCTGAAGTCTGCTGTGTTTGAAATTAACACAGCTATTCCTGCTTTCTGTGACTAGCATTAGCATGGTATATCTTTATCCATTTACTTTTCATATATATTGTCTATATTTAAAACGGTCTTGTTGTACACAGTATATAGTTGGGTCTTGTTTCTTGATCCACTCTGATGATCTGTTTCAAATGGTGCATTTCGATCATTGACACTCAAAATGATTGTTGATATAGTTGCTTTAGTTTTGTTACTGGTTTTTATTTGTTGCTTTTTTTCTCTTGTTCTCTGTTTCTATTTTTTGTCTTCCATTCTTTTCCTGCCCTTTATTGTTTTTTGTTTTGTTTGTTTGTTTCTTTTTTTTTTTTTTTTGATTTGGAGTTGCGCTCTGTCACCCAGGCTGGAGTGCAATGGCACGATCTCGACTCACTGCAACCTCCGCCTCCCAGGTTCAAGCGATTCTCATGCCTCAGCCTCCCGAGTAGCTGGGACTACAGGCACCCACCATCATGCCCTGGTAATTTTTGTGTTTTTGTAGAGACAGGGTTTCACTATGTTGGCCAGGCTGGTCTTGAACTCCTGACTTGAGGTGATCCACCCACCTCAGCCTCCCAAAGTGCTGGGATTATGGGCATGAGCCACTGTCCCCAGCCATCTTTATTGTTTTAACTGAGCATTTTATATGATGCAATTCTCTCTTACTTATTAACATATAAATTATAGTTCTTTTTTTCACATTTTTCAGGGGTTGTCCTACATTTGCAATATCTATTTGCAGCTAATCTAAGTCCTCTTTCAAATAGCACTATACCACTTTACGGGTACTGTGAGTAACTCATAATAACAAAACAATCCTAGCTCCTCTGCTATTTTTTGTCGTATGCAATCTGTTTCTAGATTCACTCTTTAAGTGCTAGTAAAGCCATATACCTTTCACTCATCCTTTCCTGATCATAGGAGTTGAGATTTCTCGCTTTTCGGTGATCCTGCAGTCTTGCACGACTTCTTAGTCATGGTTTTTCAGACATGCATGGGGGTTTTCAGATTACAAAACACTGTCACATGCATTACACCATCTGATTTTCAAAACGTCTCTCTCAGAGATCAGGATGTCAGTTGTGCTCATTTTATACATGTGGACACTGAAGGTCAGTGATGTGACTTAACTTACTGGGTCCAAGACACCAGCTGGTAAGTAGCAGAGGCTGGAAAAAGCAGAACGCTGGCTTCCTAATAAGTAGATTTCATAAAACTCCACCACCTACTTCTATATGCATACACTTTGGGTGCAGAGCTCTTATACTTCTTTAAAATTCCAAAGGACCGTGCACACTGGAAGCATCCATCAGCATTTTAAAATTTAAATTATGTCAGCAACAAAATTTCTAGGTAGTTTAGTTTAGGCTGTTTCACATTTGGAAGTTATTGTGATAACCTCAGTAAATTTTTTTTTTGCAATTAATAGTGTCTGGGATTGTTTATAACAGTAACTTAATCAACATAGGCTAAGTAAAACAACATTCTAGTAAGAAGAGGGCCAGTACTCCCAAAGATGACACAAATTCCTAAGCGTTGACAACAGATTGCTTAACTTACTGGGCATGCTTCTCTCCTAAAAATAAGATTGTACGTTTTATCACATCTCTGCACCTGACAGGTTACTTTCTGGTGCCTAAGGAGATCAAATATTAATAACAACTCTTGCGGGACTTGGTTCTACTTTATTTT
Organism: Homo sapiens; assembly: GCF_000001405.40. Lineage (NCBI taxonomy): Eukaryota > Metazoa > Chordata > Mammalia > Primates > Hominidae > Homo > Homo sapiens. The sequence continues at coordinate 207,497,521 of NC_000001.11, read as the reverse complement.
ATTTTATTTACTCTTTTAGAGAAGAAGGAACACTCAAATAATGAATGTAAAATGTCTAGTGGCAGAGAAGGGCGAACCCGGAGTTGTCAGGAATAGGCTGGACAAAAACAACCAAGACTGTCACTTCAAATGAGATGTTGCCAGTGAGTCTAGGCAACCAAGAAGACTTCTGGGGAGCCGAAAAATAATAATAGAAGGGTTCTAACTGAAGATGTTTACCTATTTGAAGTTAAGAAAAAGGAAGAGATGTGGCCTCAAAATTTCCATAATAATTATAATAGGCGTTATTTTGTACTAAACACATCACTAAAATGCGAACTGTAAACATATCTACTGTCCCTTCTACCTGCAACGGTTACATTGCATGTTCTGGGGCTTCCCTTGCTCTTCTAATCCGCAAGTGCCTGGCATGCATCTGTCTTAAAGTATGCTGTCAATTAAGTGCATGGTGATGATGGCCGTGGTGGCTTGGTGTGGGGGGCGAGGACAGTTCCATGCGGGGCAGTTGTCAGGTAACACCTGCATCCCTAGGACTGCTTGTCTAAACACCATTGGGAGCAAAGTACAGAGGTAACGGTTGGGGGATAGAAATGGACTCGGGGACACATAGCCCTGTGTTAGATACTCGACAGGCTTAATGCCACTGAGGCAGCAACTCCACGATGCAGAGATACCAGTGTCCCCATTTTACAGAAGAGCAAACAGACTCAGGTGTGCTAAGTTGCCTCACAGTTAAGTTTCTAGGACCAGAACTCAGGTTTGTCGGATCCCCAAGTTCCCTTTCACTAGGATCAACGCCACGTCTTGGCTATAGCCAGCCGAGGCTGTGAATACACAAAGGCAAGGAATTTCGTGCGGCACCCGCTCAGCATCTGCGCCTTCCACTGCGCTCGTCACGACTTAAGCCCCTGCACCTGGGAACTCCACGCTTACCCAGAAGCAGCGAGGGTCTCCAGTGCGCAGAAGGATCCTACACCCGCCGCCCTGCCGGGTCGCGCGCTCAGCCCACCCATCGCGCTGCCTTCGGACCCGGGCGCGCAGAGCAGCGCAGCTCAGCGCTGCACGCGAGTTCTCTGCGGGGCCCCGGGTTCCTCGTCCGCCCGGGCGCCTCCCCACGCCCGCCCGCCTCTCACCCCAGGCCACCGGCAGCGCAAGCAGCACCACAACCGCCAGCAGGGATCCTCCGCAGCAGAAGGGGAGACCGGGCGCCGGCGGCCCGACAGGCTCCGGGCTTCTTGGAGAAGAGGCCCCCATTCTCCCCAAGCACATCTACAAACCAGATTTGATCTCGAAGAAAACTGAAATAAGAGGAAAAGCTCAGCGAAAATAGGAGTGACCAATCATTGTGCTCCGCGCCCAGAGTGTGGGGAGGGCTGCGGGGTTCCGGGACAAAATGCTTTTGACCACAGCTTCCCCTTCATGGGCGAGGTCATGTTTACTCCCCATTTGCATTGTTTCTAACGAGTTTCGCTGGCAGAGCCCACCTTGCTGACCCAGGTGCAGCAGCAGAGCTTGACAATGCTCGGGCTTCCGATGGATCCCGCGTGTGAGGCCCTGCGCTTCCAGACAAAGGCGGTGGATGATGGCAGCTCGCCTCCAAACACCCTGCTTAACTTTTCCTCTTTGCAAGAATGTGTGTGGGAAGGTCAGCTAATGAAATGCCTGCTCTCCGTGTTGAAGGGCAATTGCAGGCGATGTGTACGGTGTACAGGGAATGTGAAGAAACAATTTCCTTACCCTGAATTGAGACGTCATGCCATTGTAAGATTTTTTAAAAGGGAGGGACAATTAGATACACATTTAAAAAATGTAAATCTGTGTATAGTATGGAAGGTAGATTAGAATAGGGCAATAATGGACTGCGAAGACCAGTCAGGGGAGCTTTTGCCGACATCCAAGTGAGGTTTGATGGCGGCCCTGACTGGGTGGATAAAGTGGACAATTAACAAAGATATTGGAGATGGAATGAACAGTTGCTCATGTATTGGATTTTGGTTACTTCCTTTCTTAAGGTTGGTGGTGAGAAGAAAGCAATCAAGAGTTAGCCCCCTTGCGGTAGTTTGCTGAGAATGATGGTTTCCAGCTTCCACAATGAGAACACATGGACACAGGAAGAGGAACATCACACACCGGGGCCTGTTGTGGGGTGGGGGGAGGGGGGAGGGATAGCATTAGGAGATATACCTAATGTAAAGGACGAGTTAATGGGTGCAGCACACCAACGTCGCACATGTATGCATATGTAACAAACCTGCACGTTGTGCACATGTACCCTAAAACTTAAAGTATAATAAAAAAAAGAAACAAAAAAAAGAAAAAAGAAAGAAATAATTAAATAATTAAGTTTAAAAAAGGTAGAAAAAATAATATTTTATCTTTTTTATTGGGGGTGGCCTGTCCTTCTGACATGTACTGCCTGCCTGTAGGTAGGCTATTTTGCCTGGGTTTTTCTCTTAAAATAATTTTGACTTTAAACCTTGATTTTGTTGTTGTTGTTGTTGTTGTTGCTAATTTTATGTTAAACTTGTTTTCCTTAACCATTAAAAGGAGACATGATTCAGAAAAGAAAAAAAAAAAAGAGTTAGCCCCAGGATTAGAAATGAATGGTGGTGCTACTTACTGAAATAAGAAGTATGGATGTAGGACTGACAGATTTAGGGCAGAGGGTTAAGTATTCAAGGATGAATGTATTCCTCCTATCTATCTGTGATCCTGTGCCCTTTAACCAATCTCTCTCCATCTCCCATTGTCTCTCCCTTCCCCAGCCTCTGGTAACCAGTATTCTACCCTCTACTTCTATGAGATGAGTTTTTTAGAGTCCACATATGACTAATAACATACAGCATTTGTCTTTCTGTGCGCATTGGTTTCCATTAGGCTTCCTCCCAAAATTCTAGTGGAAGAAATGTCTACTTTGATCATATCACTTATCACAGTTTTTAGTACATCCAGTGACATTCTTTTAAGGATTTGCTATCATCATTTCAAGTTATTCTCAACAGAGTAATGGGAGTAGCAGCCAGATTGTAGTAGGCTTAGGAAAAGAGAAGAGGAGAAGGCTCATTTCCCCAGTTTTACATCACATGCTATCAGAAGGTGCCACTCCTTACCACTTCTGCTGGTATCCATCTCCTAGTATCTACTTTCTCCCTCATTCCTTGAAAGTTTGAGCTCCTGGCTCATGGCCACCTTCTCCACTGTTACTTCTGCCACAGTTCCTGGTGATTTCAACATTCACAGCAATAGTATTTTCAAATCCCTGGCCTTCCAGTGCCTTGACCTCTTCTCTGCCTGTGGTCTTGTCCTCCACTCTCCTCTGACTCTAATGCTCATGTGCATGCTCGGAGACTTGTCACTTTCAACCTCTCAGTGATTTCAATGATCCCACTCTCTAACCACCAATCCAACTCTTTTCTTTTACCCTAGTAACGTTAAACTGAATCCAGCAATCTTTGTCTGTCTCAGTGCCTGCAGCCCATTGATCCTACCGCTATCTCTCTCAGCTTCTCACCTCCTTTGTGTCTTCACTTTCATCACTACCAGGTTAAATTCCATACTCTGTCATTATAATCACCATCTTGCACCCACTGTTAGCTCCCTCACCCTTCTCTTGGGTTATTATAGCCATTAGACAAAACAACATTCCTGGTTAGAATCAATTCTCCATTATTTTGCTCTCATACCTGTGAAACTGAATGTGGCTGGAAAAGACACATAGCCACAATGACTAGCCTTACTTTAGTAACAAATAATTTCAAATGGACCATTATACTTCTGCCTGACATTCCCACTATTGTTTGTCTAATCCATTTATTCTCCCATTCTCCTAAATGACTATTTCATATTTTTATTTTGACATTTATTTCTGACACCTTCTCCAACATTCTTAATTTCTGTGAATGGCTTTGTTTCTTTCTTTATTGAGAAAATAGAAACAATCAAATAGATCTACAATTTTCTACCATCACTCCACCCAAATTCTTGTATTTGGCCCATGAAACCTCCGTCTCTCCTGTTAATATAATTATACTGTTCACAGTCTAAGTCTAAGGGTGATCTCTCCACTTGTGCCCTAGATTCGATTTGCTCTCACTCACTCAAGGAAACCAGCAATTCTCACTTCCTCCAGCACTATCATACACCTCTTTCTGCTGGATTTTTACCATCAGCTTGCAAACAAATTATTTCTCCAAGTGCAGCAGGTGTATTTTTCTCTTCAGTTTTTTCCTCCCATTTAATATTCCTTTTGCTTAGAATGCTCTTTGCCCAGATATCGCTCTGCATGGCTACTACCTCATCTCCTTGAGTTATTTGGCTCAAATGAGACCTTCTTAATGGAGCCTTCCTTGGCCACTATTTAAAATTGCACATTAATTCAGAACTTCCTTTCCTTTTTGCCTGTTTCATATAGATTAAAAAATTATACTTATCATTTTTTCATTTTATTACCAACTGAAAATCTGCTTATTGTGTGTCTCTCCCACCAGAATAAAAGCTGCATGAGAACATGTCAGTTTACGACTGCCAAATCCCATGACCTAAAATAATGCTTAGCACACAGAAGGAGCTCCATAATTATCATCACTTGAATGAATGACTACAGTGGTTGAGACAGCTAAGGCCAACCACTCTTTCAGAAAATTTGGTGTAAGAGAGGTAGTTTAAACGAGAAACATAGATGGTTTGGGGGAAGATTTTTTTCAGATGGAGGTGAAGGTGGATATCTGTTGCTCTAAATGGGTCCCTTCCTCTGGGATTTGCCCCTAGATTTTTCCACTGGGAAATCCCCTCTTTCCCATAGTTCAGTGTGATTCTGGAAGACTATGGTTTCTCGACCTCAATATTATTGACATCGTGGACCAGATAATTCTTTGTTCTGGAGGGCTGTCTTTTGCCTTGGAGGATGTTTGGCAGTATCCCTGGCCTCTACCTACTAGAGGCTGGAAGCCCTTCCGTCCTTCAGTTGTAGTAACCAAAAATGTCTCTAGACACTGCCAAATGTCCTTGGGAGGGCAAAATCATCCCACCTGAGAACCAATGAGGTAGACCAACCCTACCCCCATCTCCAAGGCTGGGCAGGCAACTCAGGCCTTGCCCTGTGTTTATTTCACTGTCCTGCTCCTAGTTATTGTTTCCTTTGGGGGCATGTAACCCTATTTGGAGAATGAAAGCTATTGAAGGGACTTTTGAAAGACTTATTGGACGAGAGGCTCTTTGTACTGGAAGGCTAAGCTGATGAGACGTGCATGTTGCATCATCAGTAAATATTTTGCCAGTTTTTAGGGAGTTTTTTCCAGAGAATGAAGCCAGCCAGGCAAAGCAGAAGGAGAAGATATTCCTGAAGGCACCCTTTGACTATTCCTGTTTTGACAAAAGCCAGCTACATGCTTGGACTTTTCTGTCATGTGATTTAGCAAAATTCATTTTTGGTCTAAGCCAGTGTGAGGTGGATTTCTGTCACATGCAGCTCAGCAGGTCTTGGCTTCAGGAGTTTTGGAGGTGGAACGAAGGAGCCAATGATGAGAGAGGGGCTAACTGAAGGAACAATGTCCTGGAAAAGACAGAAAGGGATGAAGAGTGAAAGATATAGGCTGTGAAAAGTGGAAGACAGACATGAGGGTAAGGGTGAGTGGATGTAGATAGGATGGAAGGTGGAGGGAGAGGAAGTTAAGAGAATTACCTTCGGATGTTTTCATCATCCCTTAATAGAAGGAAGAATGAATGAATGTAGAATAGAGTAGATGGCTCGAGGTGAGTGAACAGACAATGTGGGGAAATGAAAGTGTTGCTGACTGTACACGAATAAAAGGTGCTGAAGAGCATCCCACTTCTGGGTATGGATCCAAAAGAATTGAGGCAATGTCTGAAAAGACATCTGCACACCCATGCTCATGGAAGCACTATTCACAATAGTAAAGAGATGGAAACAACCTGATATGGTTTGGATCCAAATATTATGTCAAATTGTAATCTCCAGTGTTGGAGAGGGGCCTACTAGGAGGTGATTGGATCATGAAGGTGGATTTCTCATGAATGGATTAGCTTGGTACCATGTAGGGAGTGAGTTCTCACCAAATCTAGTAGTTTAAAAGTGTGTAGCACCTGCCCCCTCTCTCTCTTCCTCCTGCTCCCACCGTATGAGATGCCTTGCTTCCCCTTTGCCTTCCTCCATGGTTGTGAGTTTCCCAAGGCCTCCCCAGAAGGCAGGAAGAAGTCAGCAGCATGCTTCCTGTACAGACCCTGGAACCATAAGCCAATTGAACCTCTTTTGTTTATACATTATCCAGTCTCAGGTATTTCTTTATAGCAATGTGGGAAGAAACTAATACAGAAAATTGGTACCCAGGAGTGGGTCATTGCTATAAAGATACCTGAAAATGCGGCAGCAACTTTGGAATTGGGTAACAGGCAGAGGTTGGAAAAATATGGAGGGCTCAGAAAAATGCTGTGTTCCCATCCAAATCTCATGTCGAATTGTAATCCTCAGTTGTTGGAGGTGGGACCTGGTAGGAGGTGATTGGATCATGAGGGTGGATCCTTCATGAATGGTTTAGCACCATCCCCTTGGTGTTGTTCTAGTGTGTGGCACCTCCCCATTCTCTCCCTTGATCCTGCTTCTGCCATGTAAAACATGCCTGGCTTCCCTCTTCATCTTCTGCCATAATTGTCAGTTTCCTGGGGGCCTCCCCAGAAGCTGAGCAGATGCCAGTATCATGCTTCTCATACAGTCTGCGGAACCATGAGCCAATTAAAACTCTTTTCTTTATAAAGTACTCAGTCTCAGGTATTTCTATATTGCAATGTAAGAACAGACTAATACACAACCTAATGTCTATCGACAGATAAATGGATAAACAAAATGTAAACAAAATTGCATATACACACAATGAATTTCTTCCTTTCCTTAAAAAGGAAAGAAATTCTGACACATGCTACAACATTAATGAACCTTGAGGACATTATGCTAAGTGAAATAAGTCACAAAAGGACAGGTACTGTATGATTCCACTTATATGAGGTACTGAGAGTAGTCAAATTCATTGCGACAGAAAACAGAATGGTGGTTGCCAGGGACTGAAGGGATGGGGGAATGTGGAGTTACTATATAATGGATATAGAATCTTGGTTTTATAAGAGAAAAAGAGTTGTGGAGATCTGCTCTACAACAATGTGAATGTACCTAACTCTACCGAACTGTACCCTTAAAAATGGTGAAGATGGTAAATTTTATGTGTTTTTAATCACAATTTTAAAAAACAGAAAAAAAACAGATGCTGAACAGCATACCTAGTCTAGGGGAAGGTACAGAGTAAATTTGTGGTCACCAGTGAGCAAGGTTTTATTTTCTCAATAGTTTAAATGTTGGAACAGAGAAAATTAACAGCTATATCTATATCAAGGGTGTGGTGGGAGAGGATGAGTGAGCCGGAGAAGGTATTGGCTGGACAAATATAAGAGAAAGTCTTGAGGGTGAGGAAATTGAATTTGTGGGTTAAAAGTTTGGCTAAAACGACCAAGTGATGGGATCCTGAATGAATAACTGTTAAATCGTGGACTTTAAAGCCCTAAGACTCTCTGTTATCGAAGAGTTCATTGACTCCAAAAAAAAACAAAATAAGGCAAGTGTTGTATGTTTTCTTTACAATTACAATTTATTGAATGACTAATGTACACATTATTAAGTGAAATTTTACAAGCAACTAGAACTTATCACAAAACTGCTAAAGAAACATCCAAAGCCTGAATTGTACACCAAATCTCTAGGATTAAATCTTGATTCCCATAATTTAAAAAAACTTGTGCAAATTGCAATCACTGAGTGATTATGGAAAGGCAAAGTATATACAGTAATGTGAGAGAAACTCAAACCAAGTAAGGGTAAAAATGAAATGATTAACACCACCAGAGGAGGAAGCTACTATCAAAATAAAACCATACTTCCTAATAAAGGTAAAGCCATCATAACCCCAGAAAATGCTTCATACTTTAGATAATTAAAAACACATTATAACCAAAAGCAGATAGTAACATTGAGTATGCTGATTTCAAAAAGAAGATGGGTCTAGATACCAGGACAGCTCTTTTTAGTGCCTTCCTTAAAAAGGGCAAAACTTTTTAGAGCCATGTAATTGTTTATAGCCATGGCCTGGCTTCAGGCATCTCATAAGTGAGGCTTCAGAAAGTCCTTGAAGAGTATATGGCAGTGAAACTGGGCTCCCATCTTTACCATAAAGATGTTCTTCTTGAGAATAAGTGCATATAGGAAGTGATCGCTTATGACATCATTTCATTGATCTTGAGGCCATATAAAGAGACTTGCTGATATTAGAGCAGTTTCTTTCTAATCAATATTCCGCTGAATTCCAAGCAATGAGGCACACTGAAATAGATCATTTCTGTTTAGGAGGCAGCATGAATAGCAGCGGTGCAACTCGAAGTTTAAATAATGCTAACATTCTCTTTACATACCAGTTACAGCTGGTATAACCAACAAAGCATCAAGTCTATTAGAAGATATCATTCTATTGAAAGGCCTTTCTTCATATAACATGCTCTGGAACAAATAACTACATTTTATATACATTCATATAAACATGAATTAAACTAAATGAGAAATGAAAGTACTAATCTTTCTCATTCATAAACTCATTCAACAAATATTTATGAGCTAGGTGTACTCTGTACCTCAACTGGTTTGGATTTAGAGGTCACTAGTATGGTCCCCCTGTCAGGACTCACCAGCAGCAGGTTACCTTTTCTTCCTCAACTGCCATCACAGATTTTCTATACCTTGTTTATGGTATGTATTATTACCTATGATATTTATGGGTCTTATTTATCTTATTAAAATAAGTTCCAAGAGGACAGAGGTGGTATATTTTTTATTTTATTTTATTTTGAGATGGAGTCTCGCTCTGTCAGCAGGCTGGAGTGCAGTGGCGTGATCTCAGCTCACTGCAACCTCCAACTCCCTGGTTCAAGCAATTCTCCTGCCTCAGCCTCCCGAGTAGCTGGGATTACAGGCACGTGCCATCAAACCCAGCTAATTTTTGTATTTTTAGTAGAGACGGGGTTTCACCATGTTGGCCAAGATGTTCTCGATCTCCTGAACTCGTGATCTGCCTGCCTTGGCCTCCCAAAGTGCTGGGTTTACAGACGTGAGCCACCACTCCTGGCTGGTATCTTTATTTTCTAGATTATGTAGGAGAAAGCAGTTTAAACTCAGGCATGAGCTTGCATTCCACCTTTGCCAATGATTGACCCTGAGACCTTGCCCAAGGTTTTCTTGGATATTATTTCTTCATCTTGATATTATCTTGGGAGAACACCCACCTTTCAAAGTGGTACTGATGGCTAAGTAAGAGAAGGCATGAAAGACTGTCACATAATCCCCGGACAGAGTAAACCTTCAAATGTTCATCCCCACTTTCTCATGGGAAACTCAGGTGCACATCTCATGTGGCCTGTCGGCCTTTCTGTACTCCCTATAATTCAGTCTTCAGTTCTTAGTTGATGATTTAATGCCTTCCTTTTTCTTCTTAACTCTCTAATACCTCCTTTCTGAGCCTCACTCTCACCTGAATAATTTGCTTTCTATTCACTGAGAAGACTGAATCATCGGAAGAGAACTTCCACACGTTCACTCCCCATCACAGCTCCCAACCTGCCTTCATCTGCACCTGCAGATTCTGCCCTCCCTCCTGTTACTAAGCCCACGCAGCTAGGAGCTCCTCTGCTTAATCTGTTCCTCCTAGCTTACCCAGACCTTGTTCGAGCAATTCTTCTCTCTCTTTCTGCCATCACTCTTTCCCTTTCTACTAAATTATTCCCATCATCATGTAGGAATAGGGCATAACTGCTATTTCTCCAATCTTAAAAAATATTTCTGTTGACTTTATGTTTTACTCTTACTAGCACTTTACTTATTTGCTCCTTTTTATAGAAAAAAACCTAGAAAGAGTTGTCTGTATTTGATAGCTGCAATTTCTCTCCTTTCATTCTCTCTTAAGCTCCGTCCAGTCAGGCTCCTGCCTCCTTCCTCTCTTCAAAAACTGTCTTGTCAAGTTCAGCAGCAAATTTTGTGCTGCTTGCCTATAATCCCAGCTACTCAGGAGACTGAGGCATGAGAATCACTTGAACCTAGGAAGTAGAGGCTGCAGTGAGCTGAGATCACACCACTGCACTCCAGCCTGGGCGACAGAGTGAGACCCTGTCTCAAACAACAACAGCAAAAAAATTGTGCTACTGAATTTCAATGGTCAGTTTTCAGGGCTCATTTTTTTGGCCTACCAGCAACACTGGACAGAGTTGATCACTCCCTCCTCCCTAAAATTCTTTCTTTGCCTGACTTTAAGGTTCTTCTCTGGATAGTATCAGAGGCTGCTCCTTCACTTCTTAGTGGGTGCCTTCTCACTCCATGACTTCTAATGTTGGAGGATCCAGGGCTCAGTACTTGGACCTTTTCTTTTTGCTAGCCTCTTTCACTTCTCGGAGATCTTATTCAGTCTCCTTGTTATGTACAACCACATGATGACAAAGCCCAAATTTTTATCTCCAGCCTGGACCAATTGCCCAAAATACAGACTTGTACATCAGCTGTCTTCTTGCCAAGTCTATTAGACATCCACATTTAACATCTCCACAGTGGAACTCCTGATTTTTCTCCCCAGTCCTGCTCTTTGCAATCTCAATCATGTAATTAATGGCAGTTCTATCCTTCCAGTTGCTTAGGCAAAAGCCCTCGTGTCATTATTGACAGCTCTCTTCCTCTCATATTCTGATACAAACTATCCACGAATCCTACTGTCACTGTCTTAAAATTGCATGCAGAATCTGGCCTCTTCTTACAACCTGGTGGTAGCCACTGACAATTTCTTGCCTGGATGATTGCAGCAGCCTCCTCATTGACTCCCATCTTCCACCCATGGCTTCCTACAGTCTGTTCTTAACACAGCAGTTAAGGTGAATGTGTTGCTCCTCTCCTTAAAAGCTTCCAAATAAAAACCAATCTCTTTACCATGACCTAGCACACTTTATACAATCATCCTCTCCTGCCCACCATCCCATTACAATGACATAGCAGACTTTGTACGATCATCCTCTCGCCCACATCCCACCCCCATCTCTGTGACTTCATCTCTACAACTGTAGGCCACACTGGCCTCCTTGCTGTGCCGCCAACACAGCTGGCACACACTGCCTTATGGCCTTTGCACCTACTGTTCTTTCTGGAATCCTCCTCCCTCATATGGCCACATGGCTGGCTTTTTTTTTTTTTTTTTTTTTTTTTTGAGATGCAGTCTTGCTCTGTTGTCCAGGCTGGGGTACAGTGGCGCAGTCTTGGCTCACTGCAACCTCCGCCTCCTAGGCTCAAGTGATTCTCCTGCCTCAGCCTCCCGAGTAGCTGGGACCACAGGTGCACACCACCACGCTTGGCTAATTTTTGTATTTTTAGTAGAGACAGGGTTTTACCATGTTGAACAGAGTGGTCTCGAACTCTTGACCTCAAATGATCTGCCTGCCTCAGCCTCCCAAAGTGCTGGGATTACAGGCGTGAGCCACCAAGGCCGGCCCTGGCTCTTTACTTCCCTTGAGTTTTTTCTCAAATGACATTCTCTTAGTAAGAGCTTCCCTTGCGACCACCCTGTTCTCTTTATCCCCCTTGCCTGCTTTATTATGTCTCTATATAATGCTTATCATCTTATTGATTTTATTCTTAGTTGTTTTGCTATTTAGTTTAATATTTGTTGAATGGATGAATGGATTAAAAAATTGGAACATTAGTTGGCAAAATGAAGTAGGTAAATGAACAATTGCTATGCATGATTACTGAAGACTTGTGCAATAGTAAGAAGCATGTATATACACCGTGAATGCTACGCTTATTGATAAATACAAGTTGAAGGAAATTTTATATGTAAATTAATAATATTCCATTTCATTACATACCACCAGTTTGTCTTCTGATCAGCTGGCTGGGTTGTATGGATCAACAGAATATACTTCTCGTGCTTCTAAATGAAAAGCTTCTTTCTGGCTTGTATCTGTATAATAATTGCTAAACAGAAGAAGAAAGAAAAATGTAATATCTTTACTCATTGACCATGTTTCAATGTAGCAGTTGTTTGCTTTCCATAATTCCCAACACATGGTAAGTACTTTTGTGGATGATTTCATTTTTTTAAATTATACTTTAAGTTCTGGGATACATGTGCAGAATGTGCAGGTTTGTTACATAGGTATACATGTGCCACGGTGGTTTGCTGCACCCAACAACCCGTCATCTACATTAGGTATTTCTCCTAATACTATCCCTCCCCTAACCCCCAACCCTGTGAAAGGTCCCAGTGTATGATGTTTCCCTCCCTGTGCCCACATGTTCTCATTGTTCAACTTTCATTTACAAGTGAGAACATACGGTGTTTGGTTTTCTGTGATGATTTCATTTTTATTGTTTTTATCCTATGAAGTGTAAACACTGTAACTCCATTTTTTGGAAAGGCACATAAAAAATGAATGATCTAGGCTTGTAAGTGTTCAAGTCAGAGGCTGACACTAAGCAGCTTTACCCTAGGATCCAGGACGCTTAATGACTAACAACTACAACTTCCAAATTGAAGAAAAGAAGCAAAAATAAGTTCTTATTTTAGATCATAACTTTACCCTTTTGGGACTCAATGTTCTAGTCTGACTTAAAAGCTTTAAACGAGTTTGAAGAGAATGTTTTTACTTTCCTTCTTTGAAAGTACACATATTTCATTGTGCTTCTAAAACCACTTTGCCAGAATTACTAAAAGACAATAAAATGTGATTATACTACCATGTAAAGCTCTAAAATAACATAATACAAAATTACTGGGGAAGAAAGAATACTGCTAAAGACACTGACAGCATGTCACTCACTAGAATATTGAAGAGTTCCGTGTACAGGAGATATGTTAAGAAGATTATAAAACAGTAATTTTTAGGTCAATGTGAGATTTAAGCTTTGTTACAATATCTTAGATGACTAGAAAAGAATAGCATAGTGTCTTTCAAGTGTTTAGATGGCTTTTCAAAATATTTAATATTGTCACTAGACATTCATTTTTAAATGATTACTCATCTCATTTAAAAAAGCATTTCAGGCCATTCAAGTGTCTTTATCAATTATTGGAAAATCAATTGAAGTGGGTTAGCAAATGGAAATAAATGAATGGCAACTAGGAATCTGGTTAAACAGGTATGTTTGCTTCATATCAGTTGAGGCACTTAAGTATAGTACATGATATAATCATATTAATAAACAATAATTAGACTGGAATATTATAAATTATTTGCACTTGTAAGCATTCCCCAAATTTGCAAATTTTTATACACATGCAGTGCTCTGATAGCAAACTCAGTAGCATGAAGGAAAGAGATAGAGACTGTATTTTCTATGTATTTACATTTCTAATGCCTCTTGGCTGAAATTATCTTGTGACTTCCTATGAGGAAGGCCCTGCAAATGACATCCCTAATTTTTTTTGAGACCCTTTTCTCCTTGAATTCTGTGACGCTACTCTCTGCTAGTTTTCCCCCTGCCTCTCTTCCTTCACTTTCTGCCTTTTGAACATTACTGTTCTTCTGAGGGCTGTTCTCATCCCAATTTTTATCTGTTCTGTTCTTTTTGGTTCCACAGCTTTCATTGTGATTTAAGTGTCACCCACCCGAGTCCAGACCCTTCTCCCAAGCCCTAAATCATGAGTACCTCAAAGTACCAGGTCAGAACCGAACTCCTCATCTTCCCCCACAAATCCTGCCCCTCTCCTCTTTTAGTGAGTCAGGGGGTCCACCTCATCGCCTTCATGTGAGCCATTCTATGTGCCTCCTTCTCCCCACATCCAGCATGTCACCAAGTCCTGGAAATCCTGTCCTCTTGATAGCAAAAAACCTCTTATTAAATATTCTCATGGTCCTTGTGATTCTCCACAAGAAAAAAAAACAGTGTGCAGTATGTCCAAATCTTATTTGCCATAGAACACCCTTTTTTTCTGAAGTCATTCATGAAAGCAGGGTTGTGTGGTACACACTCTGGTAAACTCTACACTCTAAGTACACGCTAACTGTACAGGACAGCCAGAACCCCATAGGCAGCCCTCACCCTCCCGCCTCCAGCCTAGAACAAACTGCCCAGGTTCGTAGATACCCTCAGTACATAGTTTCAGTGCAACCCCTTCATGTCTGAGCCTATTCTAGGAATTACATAACTGAGCCATGGCATCAGATGGCACTGGTGGCAGGGTAAATGATAGATGCAGGGGACTTGGCACGTGAAAGAAATTTTGCTGGAGCTTTTTGGTGACATGTTTTAGGTGGCATGACTTGGTCATCTCCCCACTCGGAGCTACCTGAGAGTTGGTAAGACTTCATTGGATTATCCGCCCTAACACTAGCATGTACAAAGACTCACGAACCTATGCACACATAACATCCGAGGCCAACACCTGACGGTATGCTTTGTTAAAAATGTATCCTTTGCACATATTAGTATTCTGTAGCTTCCACAAGATTTACGTGTCAGGGTTTTTTTTTTTTTTCTTTAATGGCATGTCTCCACCTAAAGCTATGCCACTTTCGCCTTCAATCACCATCACACACACACTATTTCCCAGCCATTTCAAATGGGTTATGTAGTTCTCACAACACATGATGGAAAGCCAAGCCTCTGGGCCTTTATTCAAACTGCTCTTTCTGTCTGGAATGCCTTTCTCTTCTTGTCTACACTCTCTTGAGGCTCACCTGAAACATCTCTTCCACGCTGAAACTTTTCCTGATTAAAACTCCCAAATATTGACCATTTGCTTTGCATCCTCACCAAATATCATATAATCCACCATGGCGACGTTATTTTATGGTACTTGTTTAGCGACATGCTTGTCCTCCTTTACCAGGCTGTGACCTCCTTGATGACAGAGGCCATATGCTACTAGGCTTTGTGATTCTAGCCTAGTATAGTGCTAAGGCATAGTAGGCACTCAGCCATTGTTGTATAAGAAAAGAATGGATGGACGTGGTCATTCCTCTTTTCGCATGACTTCTATTTCTCTAACATTACTGCTCAAATGTTTTAAAAGCCATGCATGTATATACTAGATAGAGCAACATATGAAAGTATCTACAGCAAATTGCTGACATCCATCAACTTAATATGTTGGACTTGAAGGCACCAGCAGTTGTTCAGTGGAAGAGACTATTCAGTATCTTTATAAACTAATTTGCTACAACAAGCATATTTACTTTTGTATTTTAAAAATTTATGCAAATATTTATAGTGATATAAAAATATGCTTAAAGAAGGGAAACAAGATTTTTCAGTGATTTTAAATAGGGAAAAACAACTTTTGTGACTATAAATACACTTTATGTAATATAGAAAAGAAAAAAGGATGCAGTATCATTTTTAGTGATAAAACACTAGAGGCTTTATATTAAAAATAAAGGTTAAAATATGCCAATATTCCCTAATATTACTGAAGATTTTCCTTAAAATTCTTCTCAGTAAAATGAGACAAAAACAAATAAATGAAAATGTATAATCGGTAGATATGAGGTAGAAATTATTTCTACCAATAATAATAATTGGTAGAAAATATAGTTTTCTACTTAGATGATTGGGTAACTCACTGAAAAGCTATTAGAATTAATGACTGTATAAAGATAGACTTTCCTAGATATCATTTGCAATTACTTATAAGACATAACCAAAAATGATTCTATTTATAAAGCAATAAAAATAAGATACTTTTATGGCTATGTAGCTTATATAAGGTAATCTATTAAATTTTAACTAAAATATAACAAAACATCTGAATAATTAGTCATCTGGTATTTCTGGAAGGAAATAGTGAATATCATGAAGAGGTCAGTTCTTCCCAAATAAATATATAGGTTTAAGGCACTTCCTATCAATGATCTAAGATTTTATTTTATTTTTCTAGGGTATGGGAGGTGTAGTCGTGGTGCAAATAATTCTATAGCCTATCTGCAAAAATAAATAGAAGAAAATTTCAAAATAGTTTTGAAGAGGGGGAACACATCTCGGAAAAAGCTACATTTATTAATAGAGTAGCTCTGGCTCATAGAGACAGGCCGATCAGTGGAATATAATCTATCTTGCATATTTATGTCAGATATCTCTGACATAAGCCCCAGTGTACACAAGAATTGAATAGGCGTGCTTTATCTGATAAAGAAAACTATGACCAATGGTGAAGGGATGGTTTACTCAAAATAGGTTTTGAAAAAATTGAATATATAGGGAAAAAAAGTACAAGTAGGTTTACTTCAACTACCATACCATAAAATAAATTCCTAATGGATTAAGATGTTTAAAAATAATTAAAAATAATATGCAAAAATATATCTAATTTCTGGATAAGAAAACATAACATACCAAAACATAGAAACGTAGTAATATAGTTAATATTAAGTAATCATGAAAATGACTAAGGGAGAGAAAAGATTACTTGATCAAATGGAAAGACCTAGTATATTTCTGAATGAGAAGACATTACAGAAAAGATGCCAATTTCTCACAAATTTATCTATAGACTTAAATGTAATCACAATTTTTTTTTGAAATTATAAATGATTCTAAAAATCACCTATAGGAACAAACAGAAGAGAATAGAGAGGAAAGTCCTATAAAATTGTAGTGTGAATTCTTGCCCTACCAGATATAATAACATAAAGGTATTAATTAAACACAAAGTGGTTTGTAATGGAACAGGCAAATCAATGAAGCAGGAAAAGGGGTTGAGAAACACGACATATCCCAGTACATTAAATATTACTAAGAACAAACTTCCTGGCAAGTCATCTGACAATAGTTATCAAGTATATTAAATGCTCATGCACTTATCTTTAGTAATTCTAGAAATCTATTCTAAGGAAATAAGTGGGTATGAAAAAAGGTTTAGCCAGAGGTGCTACTCCTATCTTTATATATTATCAAAGTAAATTTGGAAGGAACTTAAAACACATAAATACATATATAAATACACAGAATAGAATAATATGCTATTTAGTAACTGAAAACATGACTTAAAGCATAAAAACATAAACATGAGTCTAAATGAAAAAAATCAAGACAGAAGATGAAAATGACAAAATTTCAGTTTAAAGAGAGAAAAAATATACGAAAAAGATCAGATACGAATACACCAAAGTATTTGCAGTCGTTCCCACTGGGATTTTTTTCCTATTCTCTAGATTTGTTTACAATATACTATCTGAATAAACATCATTCAATAAAATAAGCTAAGTGTTTGATATCTCTTAAGTCCTACAGAAAGGGCTTCCTTTTGTATAGCACGAGATACTTCATTTAGTTATCACATTGCAGTATTTATTTCACATAACTTGTGCTTCTGTGTTTAGTTTCAGACAAGAAGCCGAAACCACTTGTGCATGTTGGTCAATCAAGTATTCGCCTTTGAACTTACCGTGCTCTGTGTTTTGATATCACGTATAAGGTAATGACAATCAAGAAGGTAAGAAGTATCAAACCTGCAGCAATACCTAGAAGAAAAATCCAGCAAGTATCAAATGCCAGAAGACGATCACCTACATTGTTCTGACTGATTGCAGGGCCTATTGCTAGTGGTGGGGAAAATGTTATGTGACTCATACTTAACTCTTCTTGGACATAAATGCTGAATTCCTGAATAATCATAGTTGAGCTTAAGGTTTTTCTGATTTGATCCAGTCCACCTTTAATCTAAAGCACCAAGCACATGACCACAAGGTTCCAGTCAACTTTTCATTGAGTTTTTCTGTTCCTTTTAGTTTTATTAGTAACAATCTTGTCACTGAGGTGACAAGAGAGAAATCTCAAGAATAGAAATTAGGTGCACAGGACACCAGGTTCTTATAATTTTGCATAACATTTAACTCTCAGCTGTGAAATGTATTTTGCTACAGCAGAAGAAGCCTGCCTATTTCAATAGACCAAATCAAGCCAAACACCAACAGTTAATAAAAACTAAAATATCAATTTAAAAAGAAGAAAGAGCTGGCTGTTCAAATAATTTATCCAACTCTATGCCAAAGTGACATTTTGTAATGTGACATGTACATTGAAGTATCTTTAAAACACCAAAAAGAGAACATTCCCTATGAGTTAAATATATCATCAGATAGGATATAGGACCTCTAGCATTACATATTTTTAAAAAATATTATAAGAGCTTTTCTTCAAGTATTTAAGAAGACTTACCACAAAGGACAGGAGCAAGTGAACCTAAAAATAGTACAAAATCATGAAAATGATTATCAGTATAGTGTCATAATTCAATGTAGCCCCACGTTTCATGGTAATGTCCCAGAAATCAACACTCTAGCTCCCTTCCAAGTCGATTTAAAAGATGTACTGGGGCCAGGCACAGTGGCACATGCCTGTAATCCTAGCACTTTGAGAGGCCAAGGTGGGAAGATCACTTGAGCTCAGGAGTTTGAGACCAACCTGGGCAACATAGTGAGACCTTGTGTCTATTTAAAACAAAAACAAAAACAAAAACAAAAACAAAAAACAACAGATAAAAAAGATGTATTGGAACCTTGAGTTATATCCACTTGTTTCTTATGTAGCAACTCACTGGCCTTTTTTTTTCACTCTAAGTAGATTGGGGGAGTCCACCAATGACAAAAACAATATACTCAACTTTATAATCAGAGATTTCTCAGGTTAGAATGCAAATATTAACTGTAACAACTATTTATTTAACCTATTTCTGGAGTTCCCTGTCAAATTGTAAGCACTTATTAACTCAGATTCAGCACGTAGGGTGGTCTATGCAGCAACTCCTTTCAAAATTTCAGGTTGCTTGTTTCACATTTTTGTTCCTTTTAAATTAGTGTTTCTATTTTCTTTTCTTCACTTTCCCCATCCTAAGAAAGTTGTGTTTTTTCTTTTCCTTTTTCTTTTTTATTTTATTTAATTTCTTTCTTTCTTTTTTTTTTTTTTTTTTTTTTGATAGGGTCTTACTCTGTTGCCCAGGCTAGAGTGCGGTGGTGCAATCATGGTTCACTGCAGCTTCAACCTCCTGGGCTGAAGTGATCCTCCTATCTCAGCTACCCGAGTAGCTGGGGCCACAGGTGCACACCTCCATGCCTGGTTATTATTATTATTTTTTTTTTGGTAGAGACCAGGTCTCACTACATTGCCCAGACTGGTTTTAAACTCCTAGGCTCAAGCAATCCTCCTGCCTCAGCCTCTCAAAATTCTGGTATCACAGGCAGAAGTCACGGACCTGGCCAAGCTGTGCTTTTTCTAGAATAGACCACTGACTTCAAGTTCCTCTGTAATTATACAACTGGTCACAAACCTATGTCAATTTAAAACCCAGGACTCTCCACGCTGAGGGAAACTCTCACTCTCTTCTCTCCGTTAGCCAGTTACAAGCGGCGGTGAAGCCCTTGGTACTTACGGGATCTGCAAACCGCCAGGGGAGGGTTCCATTGGTGATCCGATTGGCACTGGCTCTGGGGACTGCCTTCCAGCATATACCCATCTTCACACTCCAGAGTTACAACAGCTCCATACTGATACATTTTCCTTGGTTCCAGCCCTTTCTGGATTCCATCCATATCTGCTGGTGAGCTACAGTTTACCTCTGAAATTAAAGAAATCTAATTCAAGCACAGTCATATTTTGGCCTTTTACCAAGAAAGCAGAAATTTCCCTTAATAGAAAGATTTATAAAACCAACCTGTTTCACTCTCAGTAAGGAAAGCTGCACTGAAATAGGATAAGACTATATCCTAGACACAATCTTTTACTGTCAGCCCTCTATCTCAATAACCTCTGGGTAATTTAAGCCAGATTATATTTGTGTTTTTTGCTTCAGTTTCTATCCAAACAGTGATGGATAATTTTAATGGCTTCTTGGAGAAATGGTGAGGGCCGAATTGGTAATATTATGAAGTATTCTGAATTACTGTTATTTTCTGCTTCTAGTTTTACTCTCTAATTCTTCATACATGTGCGTGCTTTCTCATTTCTTTCTTCTTTTCAGTGTAGTCATCAATAGTGTGAGTGATATGGTTTGGCTGTGTCCCCACTCAAATCTCATGTTGAATTGTAGCTCCCATAATCCCCATGCGCCATGGGAGGGACCTGGTGAGAGGTCATTGGATCATGGGGGTGGGGTTTCCTGTGTTGTTTTTGTGATAGTAAATAAGTCTCATGAGATCTGATGGTTTATAAAGGACAGTTCTCCTGCACACGCTCTCTTGCCTGCCATCATGTAAGATGTGCCTTTGCTCCTCCTTCACCTTCTGCCATGATTGTGAGGCTTCCCCAGCCATGTGAAACTGTGAGTCCATTAAATCTCTTTCCTTTATAAATTACCCAGTTTCAGATATGTCTTTATTAGCAGTGTGAGAATGGATTAACACAGTGAGATCTTGGATTTGAAGCCTGGCTCTAGTACTTCCTAGATGTGTGACTTTGGGTAAGTTCCAAATCTCTCCATGCTACTGAAACCTCATCTATAAAACAGGGATAATCATGGCACCAACCTCATGTGGCTCTCATGAAGACTAAATGAAATAATGCATGTCAGGTGCTGTGCACAGTGTCTGGCATAGAGTAAAAAGTGTTCAATGAATACTAGACACTAATTTACTAGTCATATTTCATATGCACTGTTTATGACAATGAAAATGACTTTCTGAAACTTTTATTAAAAATGTACCCATAATCCCACCAACACTCAGTAAATATTCTCAAAAGATTGCTGTGCTTTTTATTGGTACTTTATCAAATACACACTTAACATAACTGTAACTACAGTGTGTAAATACAATCTGTGCTTTGGTTGTTTAATTTACAGACATAACTCCAACTTTCTATGTGTAAATGACTACATAAGTGGTCATTCACCAGATAGACTACAGCCTGAGACATTTTTTCTTATTTTGAGATATTTAATGATTGTATTAATCTAATTAAAGCCTTTAATGTAATCAGACAGTTAATTCATTTCTTTGGCTATTTTAAGTTGAAAGTACCCAACTGAATATATCTATTTGGCACAAATTTGATATAAAAATAAGAATAAAAAATAGACAAAGCACCTTTACAATGAGGGGCAGGTTGGCTCCAGGTTCCCTCATGTGTGCAAAGAAGGAGTGCCTCTCCCACCAGCAGGTAGCCTTGGTCACAGCTGTACAGGATTGACATTCCAGGAGAAAATCGAGCTATGTTTCCACCAGTATGGTTCCCGTTAGGGGTCTTAGGCGGAGGTGGACACCCTATGAAGGCTTAGACACCAATAAGAAAGGGTCTTTAACTCAGCACAGAGGAACACATAGCCTGCACTATCTCTGGGTGATAGCGATACAGGAAGGCCAGAAGCAACAAGCCAACTAACTGGTATCCAAAAACATTCATTCATTCCACCCAGACCAGCAACACTGGATGGAGATCTGCATTTCCTACTGATAGCCAATATGATTTGAAGAAAAGTGTTAAAAAATAAGATAATGAAACATTAATGGATACAGTTCACAATGGTAATCCATCAGCCAACAGTTTTCTTTTCCTTTCCCTTTAAATAGCAGACATGGTTACACCTTCAAATGTCTACGAGAGCTAGGAAGTGAAGCCACCAGATACGACAAGTCAGAGAGCCCCTGTCCTTCTAAAAGTGGCAGCCACTGCTCAGCTCAAGTTACTGGTGCCTTGCTGGGAAGCAAAGGGGGTCTTGTGGCTCGCAAGCTCACTATTTATCTTAAACTGAAGATGGGTTTCACTTAAGATTACTGTGCTGGTCAAAGACAACCGTTGCCAAACAGCCTCTGCTGTAGATAGTCATGGACAGGAATAAGGCTGCCAAATGATAACTACAATTACAAGAAAGACAATTCAATGGGTTGGAGGGCCAATTAATTCTCCAGAACACCCAAAGTTCTCTTTCTGGCTGGCAACATAGCCTTAAATATCAAATAATTAGCAATATTACTGCCAAACATTTGCCAAAAATGTATGTGCATTTTTCTTACACTAAAGTCATAACAATAACAATTTTTGGAGATGCTATCAATTTGGAAGTTAGCCATTATCCTTTCATGTACTATTTATTGCTCAATATACTGAGAAAGGAAAGAGAAAACAAACAATCAAGTGAGAAGATAGGAAAAGGCAAATATCTTGTAAAACAATATAACTGCCTTAGCTCTTAGATGCTTTTCTTTAGGCAGAATGTCAAGTGCAGATTCAAAACCTCTTTTCTTTATTCTGTACAACATCCCATAACTTATCCCTTCCAAGTATCTTACCTTTTTTGATACAAGTTGGCACACCTGGCACCCATGTGTTATCAGTATGACACCTAATCACGCGACTACCATTCATGATGAAGCCAGGATTGCAGTCAACATACACTATGTCATTGTGGGAATATGCAGAATGTGTTTTATTGAGCTTGTACCCATGTTTGACTTCTGGATTAGGGCAGCGAGTCACAGGAGGAGATCGTAAGCACTGTGGGGAAGGCCCGCTCCAAGATCCATGTCCTTTAGAATCACTTCTGCACTGCAATTTTTTCTCTCCCAGGAGATAGAATCCTTGGTCACATTCATAAGAGACTTCATTTCCATATAGAAAGTTTTCTGCCATCATGCCTGTGTGCTTCCCATTGACAATCACTGGTGGAGGGTGACAGTGAATAACTGCAGAAGAGATTTAGGGAGTTCTACTTCAGCTAGTACCTCAAGGTGAGCGGTCTTCATTCAGGTACAAATGACAATATGCAACTGCATATATTTCACATAACTAGAAAATAACTTAAATTTTGGAATATGGATTATGCTTTTTTTAAAAACAGCTTTATTAAATGTGATTATAGGAGTACTATATACTCCATAAAAATTCAGAAAATAGAGTAAAGTGTGAAGGAAGAAAGAAATACAGCTATGTTCCCATGACCTAGGAATATGGGCTATATATTTTGTTATTGTTAGCAAAATTAGCAGATGCATGAAAAACAGTTCCTACTTGACAATGTTGTTTCTCAGTGTCAATACTGACCAACACCATAAGATTTTTCTTATCTAACCTCCAATGAGGGAGACGCCTAAGACTGCTGAAGCAGCAGTAGACTAATTCTTCAGTGGCCTGCCCTCTCTAATCCTCCATTACCATTGTCAGGCTTTTATTTTTTCTAACTTACCTTTACAAAGTGGAATCTTTTTGAACCAAATTCCATTTTCAGCATCTTGACACATCTGATAAGCATGTCCAGTCAACTGGTACCTACAGAGAGACAGATTATAATGCATTTCCTGTTCCCAATATCATATCTCTTCAAACTGCATGCAAAAAGGGACTTCTAAATAAGAACTTTGGCAGAGAGGAGTTGAAATTCTAGTAAAAAACTACTTTTTTTTACTCCAAGTAAAAAAACTACTTTTGAGTTAAGCAAAGCCCTTTCCATGTCAAGAGACGACTGAAGAGTCAGAGTTGCTATTTAGGCCATTGGAACCTCATATTCTCCATGCCTGTGACAATGAGGAGCCTCTAAAGGATGCCACCAAGACAAGTTGAAGGTCAAGTTAATCCACAAAACAAGGTTGAGACCTTTTCTCAGAATAGACCACTTCATACTCACCCATCTTGGCAGGACGTATTAACTAGCTCCACACGTGAACCAGCTGGAAGTTCTTGAAGACTCTGTCTCACATGCTGGCATGTTTCTGGAGAAGCAAGGATGGAATTACAGTATTTATAGATGTCTCATATCAAAGAGAAGGACAACTCTGGAACTTAAAGTACCTTCACACCGTGGGGCAGAAGGACTCCAATTTCCTGAAGGCATACAGTGAATGGATTTGTTTCCCACAAGCAAATAGCCAGGGTCACAAGTGTAGTCTACAGTCATCCCAGAGACAAAGAAGACCGTATTTCCACCTGTATGACGACCATGGTGGAGCCCAGGAGGTGACTGGCAGCCTGAAGAGAAAAACTCCCTACATAAATACCAACACAGAGGAATTTCTACTCAAGAACACTAAGTGTACAACATTGGACAGACAGTCTGAAACTCTGATGCCAAAGATCATGAAGCTCAAATTCACTACTGAATGCTGTTTGCTCTTTAAAAAGGCTCTCTCATTATCTACCCTGAATAGATCCCAGATCCAAGGGGGCATTTGCATGCACACACACAACACAGAGAACATCTATTATAGGATGGAAGAAACAGAAAGTAATCTGTGCCCCTCTTGCCTCTTTCCATGATGCAGTTTTGGGTGGGAGATAATAAACAAGAATAATTAAGTAAATCTCTCCTTTTTTCCCCCTTATTGGGTTTTTACCTTTTTCACAAACTGGTATTTCAGGATCCCAGGTGTTATCAGCTTTGCAACGAATCTGACTACTGCCCTTCAAAGTAAATCCACTATAACACTTGAATGTCACAGTGTCATTGTAGAAATATGGGGCTTCCTTGCCAGATATCTTGTATCCATTTGCAATATGGACATGTGAGCACTGGACAGCAAGGAGGGAAAGTTTACACAGGGGAGCAGGGCCACTCCAGGTGCCTCTTTCTTGATCATTGCTTGTACAACGGATGGTGCTCTCTCCAATGAGGCTGAATTCCACTCCTCTTTCTGGCCCAGGGTTACATGTGTAAGTGACCGTGGTTCCATATGGAAAATCTTCTAAGGAACTCCCGGTGTGTGCCCCATTGTAGATAACAGGGGGTGGTGGGCAGGTGATTTCTAGAGAGATGAAAAGATACTGTAGAATTGAGTTCCTGTATTAGACACCAAAGAACAAAGAACCACCAAATGAAGCTGGTTATGAATCTGTTGTTTCCTGGACGGTATGGGTACATTTTCATGATGTGAGTTGTGTGAAAGCTCATTAAGTATGTAAAATGCAATTTAAACACATTTCATAGGAAAGAAAATCTTTATTCAAAGTGAATGTGGTTGATCAACATCACATTAGGAGTTAGTTAGGCCCAGTAGTAAATTGCTAATTAAAAGAAGAATTCTTTTTAATTAGGCAATAGGAGAATAAAAGACACAGGGTAATAGAATTATGCTTTCTTGGTTACTCTGTGCTGAGGTGATATGATGGTTTATATGGCTAGCTGAGAAAACTTATTGTTGAATGAGCACCTACTTTGTGATAGGCAGTTTCCTCATCCAGAAAGTAGCAATAGTACAATTTAATTTGAATAATTTGAAGTCTGTAGTGTTTTTTAAATTTTCTACGTTTCTTTTTACTTTTTTTTTTGAGATGGAGTCTCACGCTGTTGCCTAGGCTGGAGTGCAGTGGTGTGATCTCAGCTCACTGCAATCTCCGCCTCCCGGGTTCAAGTGATTCTCCTGCCTCAGTCTCCCAAGTAGTTAGGACCACAGATGCATGCCACCACACACAGCTAATTTTTTGTATTTTTAGTAGAGATGGGGTTTTACCATGTTAGCCAGGATGGTCTTGATCTCCTGACCTTGTGATCTGCCGCCCTCAGCCTCCTGAAGTGCTGGGATTATAGGCGTGAGCCACTGTGCCTGGTCCTTTTTACTTTTTATTTACATTCTCTGGACCTCCTAGTCTGTAGTCTTATGCCAACTTTACAGAAGAAAGGCTAGAGTTTCAGAGGAGTTGTACAAGTGGTCCAAGGTCTCACACTAGTAAGCAGTAGAGACAGAATGTGAATTCAGATCTGACACCTATCCCTTACTCTCTCCACTAAACTGTGGTATACCCAAAATTAAGATGGTGGCTCATATACTCACCGCTGTCATTATTCCCATAATCGTAAACCACAAAATAGAATCAGTAACAAAGTAGATTTAAGTTATTGATGAAGAAAAAGGTAGCAAAAGAAAGACATGGT
This sequence comes from Homo sapiens, assembly GCF_000001405.40. Lineage (NCBI taxonomy): Eukaryota > Metazoa > Chordata > Mammalia > Primates > Hominidae > Homo > Homo sapiens. The sequence goes on along the minus strand of NC_000001.11, from coordinate 207,471,644 downwards.
AAAACTGTGCAACCATAACTATTGGCAGAATCAATAGAACAGAATCTAATACTCTAATTCTCATAACATGTCCCAAAACAAAAATCTCCCAGGAAATGTATAGATCTCACATTATTTCAGCTCCTATATCATTTTTGCTACTCACCTTTACAAAGACGAATCTCCATAAACCAAGGAATTGTGCCTTGACACTCCTGATAAACACTCCCACTTAACTTGTACCTAGAGACAGAGTCACGTATGTCATTTTGCCATCAGGTGACCATTAAGTTAGGCAAGAGCCATGGCTCCCAAGCAGACTCACTACTTTCAGGCCAAGAAGCAATAGCAACAAAAATGTAGCCAACATCAGCACCAACTTCTCATTGCACAGGCATAATTTCCATGCATGGAAAAATAGTATGATAGACACTTCCATGACCATGTGACAGGCAAGCACCTATGAGACAAACTCTTACATAGAGCTTGCAGGGTGTACTGATACAAACTCTTACATAGAGCCTGCAGTGTGTGCTGATACACCGGAATTGGGTCAGACTAAGTCAGCCTTCACTCACCCTTCACCACAAGAAGAGTTGACATCTGGTCTAACAAATTGGTGCTGGGGTTTTGTCAAGAGTTGCCTTCCTGTAGCTTCACACGCTGCCACTAAGAAAAGAGACTAGGATGAGAATTTAATTCAAGGCAATCTTAAAGTTAACAAAATGTCTACATTTGAGGCCTGGCACCTTTGCATTGGGGTACAGGGGGTGTCCACACCCCCTCAGAGGTACACTGTATGGATTCTTCTCCCACCAGCACATAGCCAGGGTTACAGCTATATTTTATAGATGTTCCAGGGTCAAAGCGGACCATGTGTCTATCTTCCTTTTGCCCATTGAGGATGTTAGGAGGGGCCTGGCATTCTAAATGAAAGGACAAAAACAAAACATAACTGCTTAAGTAAACAACCACAGAAAGAAACTGAGCCAAAGAAATTGATATTCATGCTATAATTCCACTCTGGCGTCAGCTGTATGATACAGAACATATGTTGCAGACCAGCTTTGGGTAATTTTAGATCACAGTTTCCCAATCTTTTGTTGTTGTTGTTGTTGTTGTTTTCTGCACAGAGGCTGCTGCAGATGTTGTTCACTTTCCACTGGGTTCTGCAACTCCTCTCCTGCCTCTTCCCTTCATAAGGAATCATCTTGTATGTTTTTTATGGGAGATTCTGATATATCCCTAGGAATGAGGGCTTGAATGACTTCTCTTTTAAGAAGTCACTATTAAGACAAACAAGCATTTTTCTCCTCATTTTTTCCCCTATAGAAATGAGAAACTTAGTGATTCCTAACATTTTTTCCAAGCATATTCCCACAAAATAAAACAATGGTGGGGGGCTAGTGATAAGAATGCCCTCTACAAAATTTATATTGATTAGATGTAGTAGATTTGAGGGAAGTATAAACTGGACAAGGCCCTACCTAAAGCCCACAACCCCTTCTTCTAATTTTTCAGAAACGAATCAGAAGCACCTTTTCTGAGTACCGGAACACTCACCCTTTTCACAGACTGGTGCAGATGGCTCCCATGTGCCTTGGGCATTGCATCGGATTTGCTTGCTGCCCTTCAAGGTGAAGCCAAACATGCAAGCAAATATCACAGTGTCGTTATAGGTATATCGATCTTTCTGCCCAGATACCATTCGGCCTCTTAGGATCTGGGGATGTGGACACTGAACCGCAGAAGTAGAAAGTTCACAGCGTGGGGCAGGGCCACTCCAGGTCCCAGTCTTCTGACTATCAACTGTACAACGGAGAGTGCTCTCTCCAATAAGGATGAAGTTCACTCCTTCCTCTGGGTCCGGGTCACAAGTGTAAGTGACTATGCTTCCATATGAGACATTTGCTAGTGAGTTGCCTATATGTCTTCCATTGAGAATAGGGGGAGGTGATGGGCAAAAAATTTCTAGGGGAATTGCAGAAAGAAATGACAAGATCATAGGTGTATTGAAAACAAAGAATGCCCCAGATGCTGCTTGATACCACTATCCTAGGACAGTGATATCCGAGTCTATAATGAATCAGTCAAGGCAGCTAAAGCAACATAATTTAGAAGATTGATTCTCAAGCTTCATTCCTGAGTATATGTACTCTGCTGATCCTTTGATTTCTTTTACCAAATACACTATTTTCTTTATGCATATGGTCTACCTACTTAGAAGGTCTGCATAGCTTTCAGAGGAGGGAAAGCCTAGGAACCCCATTTTACTTGAGGAAACAAAAAATAAGGATGCTTTGGTGAAGCACATATCCTTAAAGATCTCTAGGAGTTCTGTGTTCAGTAAGAGTCTGTAAGGTAATGACTGAACCAAAAGCTTTTAGTTAAGCTGAGAATGCAGTGCTGTCAGACCATAGTTGCCTAGCCTACCTTCACATACTGGCATTTTGGTCCAAGCAACTCCCTGTCCAGCAATTACACACCGACTAGAAGGTGGGCCTTGCAGTCGATACCTGGAGACAGAAGGTTGTCATTCAGAACTATTAGGCAGTTTGTGCTGAAGAACAGCAGCCTCTACTTACAATTCAAGACAAGTTCATTTCAATCAGTGTGCATCTGTTCCTTTTATCAGCATTACCTCTCACAACCCTACCCCAGACTGCCCAGAGATCCTCACAGAGGAGACTTCTGCAGGTTTCACAGTCCACACCACGCACACACAAGACAAATGAATTAAATCTCATAAATAATCCTGACACTCACCCTTCATCACAGAAAAAGTTTGCAGTTACACCAACCCGGAGAATTGGAGGCTCCTTTACCTTCCCATTGGGAAATCGTCCTAGAGATTTACAGCGTGCCTCTAAAAAACAAACCAAAGATGAGAAATGCATGGCAAATAACAGAACAGCCCAGATTCTTAAAATAGATTGTAAATTTAGGGTACCTTCACATGTGGGGGGGACAGCACTCCATTTTCCCGAAGACAAACAGTTAATGATCTTTTCTCCAACAAGCAAGTAACCAGATTCACAGCTGTAAGTCACAGACAATCCTGGAGCAATGGAGCCAACATTCTCACTTGTGTGATGTCCATTGTGGATCATAGGAAGTGCTGGACACTCGAGAGGGAAAACTTTACACACACATACCAGGAAAAAAAAGCCGTCAGATGATGCATCCTTCACAATCTAGAATCAAGGGGGTCCAATCTTTTGGCTTCCCTGGGCAACATTGGAAGAAGAAAAATTGTCTTGGGCCACACATAATATACGCTAACACTAATGATAGCTGATAAGCTAAAAAAATTGCAAAAAAAAAATCTCATAATGGTTTAAGAAAGTTTATGAATTTCTGTTGGGCCACATTCAAAGCCATCCTGGGCCACATGCTGTCCACGGGTAGCGAGTTGGACAAGCTTGATCGAGATGCTGACTTAGGATATGGATTTAAATAAATGACACATGATCTATGGTAGCCAGTTGGTATTAACTTTCAACCTAGTCTTTTAAAGATCAAACAGGTGTGGTTTAAGTGTATCCATTTTATGCCACAAATAGCCATAAATAGTACCTTATTTTTCATTTTTAGTTACACTATATGAATTACATTTGCCTTGTGAAAAATTTCAATTACCAAAAAAAGTCAATTTTCACCTATATTCTCACCCTATCCTTAAGCTTATTCTCTGTTCCAAAAGTAGCATGCTATCATTTCAAGGGCTATCCTGGTAGATATTGGCAATATAGTTTATTGGGATCCTATGCATGATACATATATACACCTATATTATGTGTGTGTGTACAACTAATACATATTCTATGCCTTACTTCCTCTACTTAGCGACATGTATACGATATCCTTCCATGTCCATACATATATGTCTGTCTAAATTGTTACAAAGGCTTAACTGTTTTCAGCAGCCATTGCCCTTTGTAACTATCGTTAAGATCTCCTTCCTCCAAGGCTATTTATCAATCAATCAATCAATAAACAGAATCCCATTTTATACTAATTTAACAGTTTTGTCAGCTCTTTAATCTGCTTAAAATTTGTCAATATTGTTCTTTATTAAGAAAATACCTAATTTGATAGTATAATTTTTGTCAAATATTGCCATTTCTTGTAATTGTGGAATTCAAATTCAGATTTATATTTCAGCAGCAACATAAACCAAACCAAAAGAGAAGGAATGAATAATTTACAGTAGGTCCCTATTTTCAAAGGCATTTATTTGAAATGTGATGGCTCAGAAGATGACTTGGGGAAATAGTGGATAACTTCAAAACATGTTTACAGAGACCACAGAGAGCAGGATATCACCTGTGCTAGACTGTGTTAGCAGCTACTTATACATTAATTTCAAATCCATTGGGTGTATTTTTGCTATAAGATCCCACCGTTCTTCTCATTTTAACAGTAACACAGATATACAGTTGAAAACCACCCCATTCCCACATCCCCAACAAACTCTGACCCCATCCTTGCAAAACTTACCCTACTCAATTATTAGGTGTGTTTAATTACATTTTTCCATGTACTTTAAACTCCTTTGCTCAATTGATGTTTTTTGAACGAGCAGTTATATGCCTCCACGAAGAAGCCATAACTTTCACCTTTTCCCTTGTTTCCTTCTTCCACCCTCATCATTACATGTTCACACTGTTTGTCCTTCAGGAGGGTACAAAACGTGGTCTGCACAGAAAGGCAAGACCCCAACCTCCCAACCCAGCTTTCTTTTCATACTCACCACTTACACAGGTTGGTAGTCGTGTCGGCCCCCACATATTATTTGCTTGACACCAAACAGACTTGTTTCCGTTCATGGAGAAGTTGGTTTTACAGGCAAATGTCACAGAATCACCATGTCTGTAGGGTGTAGAGCCTCTAATTTTGTATCCTCCTGGTACTATGGGCTCAGGGCAAGAAGAATATTTATTGAAATATTCACATTTAGGAGCAGGTTTATCCCAGGTTCCATCCACTTTGTCTTTAGTTATGCATAATAGACTTTTTTCTCCAATGAGGCGGAAGGTACCTGAACAACTGTACCTTATCACGGTACCAACAGCAATGGGGGTAGAATAATAACTAATCCGGCCATTTAGGATAGGCGGAGGAGAGCCACAAGAAATCCCTGAAAAGTAGAAAAGGAACTTGGTAGGCATACTGATCATGGTGAGAAAATATTCAAATGTAGGTAAAATATCCAAATATAGATCACATAACTTTTTCAGAAACAGACTTAGAAATATGTATAGTTTATTTATTCCCTGCTTACTCCCAAACTCCTAAATTCTTACCTTTTTCTTGATCCTCAGCAAACAGATCAACATAAATCATCTTGACCAAACAATAATAATGAAAAGAATATATCCAAAAGTTCTGAGTCTAATCAATTTTAATAATGAAACAAAAGGCAAATTCAGCACATGAAAATAACATATTAGTGGCATGATAGTTACATGTGGGGAGGTACCATGGATTAGGGAAATTTGAGCTCAGTGGACCTAGTTTCAACTCCCCACGGTCATTCAATAGCTGTGTGACCTCAGGCAAGTCTTACTCTCTTTAAGCTTCAGTTTCTTAGTCTATAGTATAACGCAAACTACTTCATAAGGTATAGTGAGAATCCAGTGCTAAAAGTACATGAACAGAGAAAGTACAATACCTGGAACATACTAATTATTCAATGGCTGCTTCAAACACACAACTGGGGGTACAGGCTGAGATGACCACTTTTGGTCCTGCTGCTGAAGATGCTAGAGCCTCAGTACAGGTGATTTGTCCTGACTTGAGGCTGGAACACTTTGAAAAAGCCACAGGAAGTGAACAGAGGTTTTGAATAATGGCCTCATATTCTTCATTTACTTGTCCTAATAACCATGAAGGATATTGTTTACATTTACTTTGTTATGCACGCCTTTTCTGAGGGAGTCTCAGAATAAAGGGAAAATTGCCAACCTCTAGAACTTTCAGTTAACTTCCCTTTGGCTCCAAGAGGAGGTCTTCAGTGAAAACTGACATAAGAAGATACAGCCAAACTGTTTCATCACATCAGTGCTATACTTGGTTTCAGTAAGGGTAACTTTCGAGAACTGTTGTCTTTATACATATAGAATCTGCAGTATAATATATACTCAACTGAATCAATTTAACATCTTTGGTCTGCATTCCAGAAGACAGAGAAGAGTGGCATATATATGTTCAAAGCACACCTATGGATAAGATGTGATAATTATATATATATATATGTATGAAAAAATCTCTAATCATTGACTTTGGTGCTATCTGCTTTTTTAAAAAAGCATCTTTTAATTTCCCCTACAATAACACAGATCTAGCACTGCCCCAAAATACAAAAGAAGAAAAAGTCCTACATCTGCAACATTTAGATATTACTTTCAAAGTTTACTTTTAAACTCTTTAACTAGGCAGGGTGTGGTGGTTCACGTCTGTAATCCCAGCACTTTGGGAGGCTGAGGCAGGTGGATCACCTGAGGTCAGGAGTTCAAGACCAGCCTGGTCAACATGGTGAAACCCCATCTCTACAAAAATACAAAAATTAGCCAGGCATGATGTTGGATGCCTGTAATCCCAGCTACTCGGGAGGCTGAGACAGGAGAATCGCTTGAACCCAGGAGGTGGAGGTTGCAGTGAGCCAAGATCACGCCATTGCACTCCAGCCTGGGCGACTGAGCGAGACTCCATCTCAAAAAAACAAAAACAGAAACACAAAACAAACAATAACAATAAAAAACTCTTTAACTAGAAAACTCAACCACATATACTATCTTCCTTCTGCTCTTTCCATAGGTACCATATATCTATTTCCCAGAAAAACCTTGTTTTATTTCTAGATCCTGAAGTTTCAGCCCAACTCACCCCTGAAGCACTTTGGCAGTAGAGGATTCTGTTTGCTGTTTAGTTGACACCATATTACATTGCTGCCTTTCAGGGTAAAACCAAGCTTACACTTAAATATCATGTATCATTTTAAAAAAATGAACATAATCCAGATTCCACAACTCCATTTTCAACTTCTATAATTGAGCATTCAAGTAAGAGTAATACACTGAAGAGGAGGGTTGCTCCAGAGCTCCAGACATCAACTTGATTATCTTTGCTGGTGCAATGCATTGACTTCTCATCCAAGAGGTCAAACAGCTTTTCCCTATTACATCCAATATGGCACTGATGATTTCATAGCAAACCCCTCTCCCTGCTGCTGCTGTCAAAGTCCCATGGGGGATGGCTGGGAGTGACTTACAAGGAATACCTTTTTAAGGAGTAGGTGGGGAAAGAGAGAATATTATACTTTCTGAGAATTTTCTCTTCATTCTTGCAATCCAAACTGCAACTCAGCCTACAATTTACCTATTTTGTTGAAATTCTGTATCCTGATCTCAAAGATGATTCTAAATAGGAAGTAGCAAGGTCAAAAGATATATGGAACTGGCTGATAAAAACCGAAAAGCTATGAGCTGGTCACCAGTCCCCGCCCCAGACCACAGATAAATTGTTATAGAAGGGACCTAGGGTGGCTTACTTTTTGCATGGAATAAAGTTGGCAGTGTGTAATCTCCTGGAATGTTTTAGATGTAAGCATTTACTCACTATGAAATAACTTATAATCAAAGGACAGTAAACAAAGGAACGTGTGGTAGGATTGGGGGCCATGAGGAAGATGGGTAAGTCATAGCTGTGTGCCTAGAGCTACTCAAACCAAGTGTAAACCCTCCTGGCTACTCACTTTGGTGTGCAGATGCTCAATTTCCCTCTGGAAGGGGACAAGAGGAATTAAATAGGGTGCAATAAAGAGATTGTTTTACTTACATTCATTAAAAGGCATGTCATTATCCCAGGTTACAATATTGTCTGAGATAATACATGTAGCAGATGAGTCACCAAAGAGTAGATATCTAAAGACAAAGAGATAAGAAATCTCGCGGCACACGTTTACCCTGTAACAAAACTGCACATCCTGCACATGTACCCCAGAACTTAAAATAAAAATAAAAATAAAGAGTGATCATCTCCCAGCTAGACTTACATTTTAGAAAAACTTAGTTCTTTCTCTACTGAAAGAATAGCAGAGAATAGAATATCATTTATGACAAGCAGGGGTGACAGATTAAGGACTCATACAATTTAAAGCCAAATGAAATTCAAGCTCCTGGTCAGTAGCACTGGAGACTTAAAACTGGAAGAGAGCAGCCAAAACTTCCTTCTCTTCTAGGGATCCTCTCTAGCTGGTAATCTTGAAGCAGTGTCTCTGGAGTGGATCAGGGAGGTGATTCCTTTTTGCTTATTTATTTTAAAAAGTATGTGGCAATTACTCAGATCTCTTTTGGAAGAGTGATGGTTTCTGGTTGGAACTGCTGTTCTGGTATCCATGTACCCAGGAACTGTCTCCTGCCAACTCACCCTTTATTACAAGAATATGTCATTGTCAACCCAAATGCAATACCCATGTGTGTAATCACAGAGTCCTAAAGGAGTTCTCTATGACTCACACATGATTTATCTACAAAAGAAAACCAAATCAACCCAAACAGAATTTGAGGCTGGGATTCAGGAGACTTTTTGGAGACTTTTTGTGTTTTATATTAAATCTCAACCTGACTGGACTTGCTGACAGGCCTGCTTATGTTTACTCACAGAAATTCTTACATTTACAAAACTTTCCAACGGATCAGTCAACTCTAGAACACTACTTGTTTAATGCACACAGTCTGCATTTCTGTGCATGGATGCCAACTTTATTTGTGGTCAGTTATAACTTATAGTCTTCATTTTCCATTTTTATACATATTCTGTTAATCTATGATATCATCTACCAAGTCTTCTGCCTTAAAAATCTCACAGTGATCATTTCCTTTTTGTAACTCATCCTCTAACTCATCCTCTACTCTCTTCTCTTCATTCAATTACTTACTGAAGTTTAGTGACTGGACTCCAGAAATCTCTCTCCAAACCAACTATTTTGTCATTGCAGTAGTCTCTCATTGGATCACTGAATGACATAATTTACTTTTCTAATTGTTCTCCCTTGGGCTGGTACACCTTCTATACTACTGCACATTTATCTTTCTAAAACACAAATGTGGTCATGCCACTCTGCACATTTAAAAACTTACTATGACTTACCACTGTTTATAGGGAAAAAATGCATATATTTTTTTACAAGTAAGCTCCAATCCATTTAATCAACTACCATTCCTCACTATGTAGCCTATACTCCAACAACACTGATTTTTTCCAGAGACATCATGTTCTTGCACACTTATGCTTTTGCAAATGCTGTTTCCTCTGCTCAGAGGGCCTATAGTTCTCTAATTCTTCTAGGTAGCATTTATGATTTATTTCTCTATGACCTCATAGCACTTCTTAAATAAGAGAACTACCTCATAGTACAATATATATTTAAGAGTTGGCCTTTACAACTAGTGTAGGAGTTTCTCAAAGGCAAAGACTATCAGATTCATTTTTATGTCACTCCCAGGCCCCACTGTCTGGTCTAGAGCTTAGTATCTAGTAGTTACTTAAAAGTATTTTTTGAATTGAATGGGATGAGGATGAGGTAATATTAACATCTCTTGTCTCTAACTTCTAACCTCACCCTAACACAGTATGGATACCATAGATCAAAGTCATAAAGATCACAGGATGAATAGGTTTGGCCAGCTATCATGACTTAACCCTCATACCCAGTGCCCCTAGGAGTAAAAGGAAGCATGGAGCACTCAGGAGCCCTCTTCACTTGAGATGACATGTGAATTTACTGGTCTTTTATCTTAAACATAACATGTTATCTCATCCAGATACAGCGACAGACCCAAATATGCCTCTATTACAGGATTACTCACCTTTACAGAACTGCTGAGCATCTGACCACTTGAAGATCTCTAGGGAGGTGACAAAGAATGCCTCTTGATATACCCAAGAAAGCATTTGTATTTGCAAGATATCTCAACAGCAAACTTAAGATTGGTTACTCTGAATTTTAGGCTTAGCAAAAGGAAACCTTGGCAGAAACTTACCCTGACCTGAGGACCTGAGACAAAGGCTACAGAAACATAAAAACCAAGAGAGGCTAAAACCTCTTCTCTGCTTCTGCCTTGTTACCAATTATCCTGAAAACTTTGATCTTTAGAATGAAAGTCTAAAATAGGGCAATATTTTATGGAATGAAGAATGCATATCATTGCAGTAAGGGTGAATATACACAGAAATAAGCTCAGAGGTTCAGAGAATTTTTAGGGTAGACTTCAGAGATGGAGAAAGTAATTTTTCATAAAATTTCAGAAAATCCTCAGAATTGTTCCATCTCCTTCACCCTTACAAGTAAAAATTAGTGGTTTTAGTTTGTTTGCTTGTTTTTTCACAGTGAGGTCAGAGTCTGGGGAAAACAGGAAAGGCATGTGGCAAGGGCCTTGAAGGATGATTACATATGTTTTGATTTTTTTTTATAAGGGTGGTAGGGGGAGCGGATATTAATATTTTTCCCAGCTTCAATGAGGTCTTATTTATACACAAAAAAACTGCACATAACTAATGTACGCTATTTGTGAATTTGTGGGACAAAAAGGTAAAAATCTTTAAATACAAACTTTCCCAGGATAGCATAAGAAACTAAAGTATATAAGAGATCTTGTAAAAGCTCAGTACACATATGATCCTGAAAATTACTTTAATGAATTTACATAACTATCTTAGCTATTAAACCGTTAATGCCTAGAGAGGAGAAAATATGTTGATTATTCTTCATTATTTTATTCTGTTAATCTAGTAGAGTAATATGCCACCAAAGAGAACTCAGTAAATACTTTCTGATGGGAACTAGATAAAGGGACAGTCATTTCAACACAGATTCCTGTGACTTAAAGTAACAATATTATTATTAATAATGGAACAGAAGTTATTCTAGGAGATAGGTAAGAAACTATAGCAATGATACACTTAGGGATATAGCTGGAAAAGTCATTTTTCTATGTATGAGAACGAGCTCAAGTTTCAACGCCCTAAACTGACAAGCAGAAAACAAGAAGTTAACTCTTCTTCCAGATCAGATGGTAGTCCAGGCAAAAAAAGAAAGTACTCAGTTGTAAGGCCCTCCTAGAATAGCAGTGTATTTAAATATCAAATTTATAATCTCCTTTTTCAAACAGGTCTGAGACAGGTACGGGTGAAAGTCAAAGTATAAACATGGATGAACTGACACAAGGTCACACACAAAGCTCCCAAAACACAGCCAGACCTTAGCTGTGACCCCAAACTACTACTGGAGAAGTCACAAAGACTGGTTCTAAGAATAGGCATCATTATTGGGAGCCAGATATCACTATAGGTCCCCTTCTATTTATTTCCTCAGTTTCTTTAGTTTTCTCCATTAACAACTACAAAAGTCTCCAAGTGCTTACTCTGTGCAAAATAGCAAGATTCTATAAGGAATATCAGGGTTTGACCTCAATGAAGACAAACTTCATGATCCTGATACTACTTGTACTAGTGACTCTAGTCAAGTGACTTAATCTGTAATTATCAAATGTAAATAAGGACAATATCAAATTATCCTCCACAAGCTGGAAAACCAATTTAAATTTACACGATTTAATCAGTGGCAATGACATGGACGAAGATGGAATGAAGATCCAGAAATAGCAAAAGCAGAAGGGTGCTTCACAGCATAACTTTCCATGATGAAAGGAGATACGGATCACACTTTCTGGATGATAAAAAATGGGAGGGTCTCATTTCCAATAAGGAGACTTAAGGGCTATCTTCCTTTGGGAACATCAATCCTCATTAGTAACGAAAGCCAGAATCCCAAGTCACAAGGCAGATCATATCAGAAAAGGGAAGGTTAAGCCATGGGCCATCAAGTAATACAAATTTTCTTGAGGGTCACTGGACCCTCTTCACATCTTTCTGTAGCCAGGAGTAAAACTCAGAGGAGATCATGACTGGATTGAAGATCAAAGATGGTGACTTGACATTCAGACACATATCCTTCCAACCATGTTTAAAACTAACAGGCGAAGCAGTTTCTGAGTTAAATGAACAGAGATATATTTAATTACTTGGGCCCAGGGACTTTACCTGGAATGGCTTGGAAATCCATTTGAAATGGATGAAAAACAAACATATAGGATAATAAAAATAAAACTGAAATTTTAGTCAGAAAGCAGGTAGGAGGGAAAATCATTATTGAGACTGATAATTCATATAATCAAATACCTTAATACTGGGTTTCCTGCCTATTTGATAAGCAAGTTTTGAATGATGATGTGAAAGTTGTCAGAATCAAAATAGAGTCACTAATGTAATAAAAAAAAAAACAACAAAAAACACCTTCAGAAAGCCAGGGAAGGCCATGAAAATAGGGTTCTCATGCTTGTATACCTGTTAACCCAAACTATCATAAAAGACTGAAAAACCACAACCGTGCACAAAAGCCACTGCAACCCTACAAGAACATCCTTCCGGCATCTGCCTGTATAACCTCAAACTGGCATCATCCTTGTTATTGGTCTTTGTAGCCAAGGATAATTATTCTAAAACAATTATGTAATCCTCATATTTTTCCTTTAAAAACCTTTGTCTTCTTTTACTTCCTTGAATATACACACAATTCATAATCACACACATATTCCCATTGCAATGTTCTATTCCCAAACAAATATCTTTTTTTTTTAGGGTCTTTCCCTGTTTGTTATTTAGTTTAACAACAGTTATGCATATTAACCAAAGTTCAGTCCTAAGCACAGGAGATGTATCTGTGAACATCAGAGACAAGGTTCCCACCCTCATAGAATTTATAATCCAACAGAAAGAGACAGACTGTAAATAGATACCAGGAAATAAATAAGAAGGTGCTGAACATGAAATATGAAATAGAGTGATATGTCACAATGTAATGCACTGGAAGGAGAAGGGACAGGGTGGCATGCAACTTCAGTTATGATGGTTAAGGAAGGCCTGTGAAAAGGCAACATTTAAGTTGTGACTGAAGGACAAGAAGGAAGAAGGAAGCAGCCAGGCAAATTGCTGGGTACAAGTATTTTAGGCAGAGGCCTAACAGGAGGAATGGATTTGGTATGCTCCAGGGACAGACAGAAGGCAAGTGTGGCTGGGATGCAATGAGCAAAGCAGAATGGTCCACGATCAAGTCAGAAAACTCAGCAGGAGGGATCATGAAGGGCTTTTTAGACCACAGATATGTGAATATTATCCTGAATAGAAGTCATTGGAGAGTTCAAGCAGGAGAATCACAAGGCCTGACTTACATTTTTAAAGGAATATTCTGGCAATTGGGTAGAGAGTGGATCGAACTGCTTACTTTTAGAAGCAAAGAGTACAGTTTAGGGCCAAAAAAAAAAAAATGAAGCTTGGCAAAGGATTGAGCAGTGGATATATTTTAGAAATAGAATTGGCAAGATTTTTTGTTGTTTTACATGTGGGGCTGAGGAAATGGGAGGATTCCTGACTTCTAGACTTCTGACTTGGGCTACACAATTGATAGAATTACCCTGTTCTGAGGATGGAAAGCCTGAAAAAGGAGTGTGTGTGTGTGTGTGTGTGTGTGTGTGTGTGTGTGTGTTGTGGCCTTGAGGTAGGGAATTGTGTTCAGAATCATTTCCATTCAGACTTGGTATATCTAACACACTAGGCATCCACATCAAGATGCCAAGTAGGCAGTTTGCAGCTCAGGAGAGAGGACAGAACTATAGATAATAAATATGAGTCATCAACATATAAATAGTATTCAAAGCCATGAGACAAGATGAGTTGAGGTTTTTTAGGAAGAAGAAATGAAGAAAGAAGAGGCTCAGGGCTGAGCCCCAAGACCCTCTAATATTTAGAGATAGAACAAAAAAGACTAAGAGACAACAGGGAAGTATGGAAAAAACAGGTAAGAGTGTCTTGGTTTGGAAGATGAGAATGATAATGGTTTCAAGGTAAAGGAAGTCATCAGTTTTTGCTGAAAGACTGAGAAAGATTAACATAGAAAAATGACCATTGGATTTATCAGCATAAGGGTCAGTAGCGACATTGCAAGAAACAGCTTCAGGAGACTGTGGGGAAGAAGCCTGTCTGAAGTGGAGAAGGAGATAACGAAATTTGAGTAAGTAGTCAATGAAAAGTTTTGCTGAGAAGAACAAGAAGAGGGACAGGAAAATGGAGTTCCAGTGGGTCATGAGAAGGTCCATAAAGGATTTCCTGGGGTATACTTAAATGCTGGTGGGGATGATCATACAGAAAGAGGTACATTGATGATGCAAGGTAGGAGATATCTGCAGAAGTAAAGTCCTTGCAAAGGCAAGAGGGTATGGAACATGATCATGAATACAGGAAAAGGAGCTGAATTTGTCAGCAGAATGGATACTTCTTTCATTGTTATAGGAGGAAACATACCAAGATTTCAATTCATATTTATTGAATTCCAAATTACAGGCTATTGATAGGAACTCAAATCAGGAAATAAGGCAGATTAAGGTCTTGCACTCATGGAACTTGTATTCCAGTGAGGGAACAAACAACAAACAGGTACATAAATAAGGAAGAAGGTTTTAGATGGTGATAGGTGGTCTGTAGAAAATAGAACACAGTTTTGTATTGGAGAGTACCCTGGAATATGGATACTTCAGACAAGAGTCAGAGAAGCACAACAGAGGGCTGAGCCTTGAATGTCAAGGAGACAGGCAAAGAATAATTTGTAGGAAGAGCATTTCAAAAGAGAGAATACCTAGTGCAATTGTGCTCAAAGAATAAAGAGAAGGCCAGTGTGGCTGGGGCAGAGAGAGTGAGTGGGGTACAGAGAATTTCAGGGAGAGGCAGAAGGCCTCAGACTGGAGAATAAGGGGTATGGGTTTTATTCTAATGTGACGGGAAGGCCTCAGCAGGTTTTCTGCAGTGGAGAACAAAATCTGATTCTAGATGGAGGTAAGTTTGTAAGTTGGTAGGTTTGTAGCCGATTAGAAAATGGGAGCATTCTTGTTTCATGGTTTTGTTTTCTCAGCATAGGATAAAGTTAGGTGGCCACTGAAGGCTTGAGTAAAATCTAGAAGTGTAGGAAATTTGAAACTGTTTATGCAAATAGACAAAAGGAAAAATAGGAAAACACTAAAAAGGAAATTTGCTTCCATTGACTTTGCTTATAGCAGTGTGCCCTATAGATACTTGTTGCAGAATCTTCTAGAGTGATTGTTAAACCTCAGCTTTCCTGTGCTAACTCCAAACCTATGAACCTCTGGAGGGGGAGGTGGAACCAGGAACCTACATTTTATAAAGGTACTTTAGTATTTTATTAAGCACACTCAAGTGCAGGAACTGGCCAAGAGATGATGTGTGGAGAGCATGCAGTAGCAGTAAAAGTTAGCAGTGGAGAGTGGGCAAAGCATGAGCCATGGGAGACAGGTGGGGAAGACCATGAGCAGCGCATACAAGACAGGCAGCTGGAGAAATCAGGGGGTGTGAGCTTCGGTGAGATCCCATTCCAAAGGGCTAGAAAGGCTGAAGACACCAGATTTTCTTCCACTGGAGGCCTTTTAGATTTTTGAACAATGGAGTGAAATAATGAAAATATATATATTTCTTAATTTTTTGTTTTCATAATTGGAAAGTGACCTATAGGTCACTCTTTAACCTTTCCAATCATAAGAACCAAAATCTCTTAAAAGAGATGAGGTTGTTACACAGGTAATTATAATGCTTAGGATGGGAATACTGGTACAAAAATGAGAAATGGACAAACAACAGAAGCACAGTAGCTTGAATGGCTGATAGGTAGACCTGGTATTTCATGGGGCTCCAGTTAAGTGACCTACATGATGCTGCTGCTGTGGCCCTGAATTGGCAGGACTGGTGAAGAATTTGATTTTCAGTTGATAATATCCTCTTTGAAATTTAGAAATAGGTGAGAAGTCAGGGACGTACTCTGCTCTTAGAAAAAGTGTGAATATACATTTGTTCAAAGGGAGTTAATATGCAGAAAAAGAAAAGAGATGAAGATAATGGTCTGGAGAAAGGTTTAAGGGTCAGGAGACAGTAAAATGTCAGGAAAGCAAAAAGTTGTAATAAACTAATATGTGCTGTATTCCAGACACCTCAATAAGCTGGATGTCCATAGAAACAATTGGACACCCAGCTTGTTAGCTTAAATGCTGGCTCCATAAAATCAAGTCTGTACAGGAGGCTTATTACTGATATTTAGTAGTAACGACTAACATCCAACTTTCTTTGCTTAGTTTCATCTGTGCTCAGGGCAGCTCAGTGAGGTGGAAGGCCAGTTAATCACTAGTTTCATTTTACAGATGAAGAAACTGAAGATCAGGGAGCTAAATGACTTGCCAAAAGTCACCCAGTTATTGAGGTCTGCACACAGTAAACGTCTTATAAACTAGGAATGCACGGTACCGTGGAGATAATTAGAAACTTAGACCCATCCTGTAGCCAAGAGACGCTAATCTTAATTATAATCTTTCTTTAAAATCAAGCCAATCTGGAGGAAAAAAAGATATAATAAACGGTGAATGAGACCTTTGCGGACGTCCACACCATTACAGTAGGTTAATAACAAGAAGAAAACAATAGTTTTAATCCATGTCTCAAAAATAACTACGGATGGTTAATGTTTAGGATCTCTACCAATATCACATTAGAGTTCAGAAAATCTGAGACCCATGCTTGGGAACCAGGTCTTACTCTTATTTAGGGAAGGGAGCCGAGGTTCTGCCGCTTTTGCTGGGCAAGAGCGCGGTTCGGGTGTACAGAAACAGCCTCACGTGGCTAGCTGGTGCCTCATGCAGTGGGTAGGTTTCCCGTGGCGAGCGGTAGCGCTGACCGCCGGCCAGAGAGCGATGAGCACCTGCAGAATCCTGGGGGCGGGGAGCCCGGCAGGAGACCGCGAGCACCCGCACGCCGCCAGCCACACCGGGCCGACCAGACAGCGCCCCTCTGTGGCGCAGCCTCCAATTCTGGAGGTCCCAGCTCCCGGAGGGGCCAGTGGGGACAATCAGGACCAGGCGGTTTATTGCAGTGGTCCCTCAAAGCTAGCGGGAGGCGGACACGCGTCGAGCACTGCCCCCACCGTCTCGCTTTTGGCCCCCTGCTTTGCATCGCGGCACAGAAACTTTCCCTGCCCGGGACGCGTCCCCACCTCCGTGCTCCCCCTCCCAGCTCACCGAGGACCCCCGGTGCGACGAGAGCCAAGAAAACCCCGAGCAGGCCCGCGGCGCCCATGCCACGGCCGAAGCCCCCGCGGCGGGATGCGTTCCGAGACCCGCGAGCGTCCGGCAGCTCTGGGAGGGCAAGGCTGGAGCAGCAAGCAGCTGTGAGCCAGGAGAGGCGGGCCCTTAAATAGTGTCCGGCACACGTGCTAGTTCTGAGCGCACACCTGCAGGCGGCCTGGGGGCTGACGCGGCGCCGGTGAGGGTGGGACAAGCGGGAGGGACGGCCCGGCACGAGGTGGGCGGGGAGCTCTGAGCCACTCTTTGGCTCAGACTCACCCCTCGTTGCGGTGGCTTCCCCACTTTTTTGACCACGCAACCCACTACACTCACTTGTTTCTCTTACTAGAACTTAAACAAAACTTTCACAAGTTAGTACTCACCCTTAGTAATCTACAATGTTCGTCCTCTGTGCCATGCTGTGTTATGCTAGACTAGGCTAGGCTATCCTATTCTTATTAGAAATCCACCAAACTCATTTCAAAACCTATTAGTGGATTCATCTCCCAGTTTGAAAAAGCAGTGTAAGTTTACTTAGGGAATTTAGGAACAGCAGCCACTTCTGCTCTGTTCTTTATTTTGAAGTAATCTCTACAGAAAAGTTTCAAGAGTACTGCAGAGAATTCCCATATACTTGTCACCCAGATTCTCTGCATGTTAACATTTTGCTGTATTTTCTTTACCATTCTCTATTCTTTCTCTATAGACATATATGTACATATATGTGATTATATAATTATAATTATATAATTATTACTTTGGAACCATCTAGCATTTATTCCTATTCTAAATGGTTCACTAAGGACTTTCTGTTCCATAACTAGAGTGCAATGATCAAAAATAAGAACTTAACATTGACACAAGACTATAAGCTACCATCTGTATTTAAATTTTGACAATCATCTCAATAACCTGTGTTATGGTAAAAACAATAACAACAATAGAAACCAACCTTTGTTTTTCCTGGTCCAGAATCATTTCAGGATCATGTATTGTGTTTGATCATTATGCCTTCCCCCCACCCCCAGTTCTTTATTCTGGAAAAATGTCCTCAGCATTTTTGGTATTGCATGACCTTTACATTTTTGACGAATACACCACAATTATTTTTGGAGAATGACTTTTAAGTCCGTTATCTATTATAATAACAAATTACCCTGAAGGTAGTGGTGTAAAGCAAGAATAAACATTTATGATCTCACAGTTTCTGTGGGTCGGTCAGGTGGTTCTGGCTTGGGATCGCTCAGGAGATTGCAGTTAAGACACCAGCTGGAGGTGCAGTCATCTGAAGGGTTAACTGGGATAGGCGAATCCACATCTAAGATGGCTCACTTACCAGCCTTTGGCTGGAAGCTTCATTCTTCACCACGTGGATTTTGCCATAGGGCTCGCTGCTTGTGTGTTGAGTGTCCTCGTGACATGCCAGCTAGCGTCTCTGAGAACAAGAAAGAAGAAGCCATAATGTCCTTTGTGACCTGTCCTCAGAAATCACAATATGTTAACTCCAGAATATCCAATTGATTGTACAGATCAGCCCTTTTCAGTGTAGGAGGGCAGTATACGTGGATGGTAATGTCAGGAGACAGGATCACACCCCACAATTTGGATTTGTCTATCATTTCTTCATGATAGATTCAGGTTATTGAATCTAATTATTTGACAGGAATACCAGAAAGGATGTCTTATCCTTACGGGGAGGCATATGTTGTCTATTTGTCCTATTACTGGTGGTGGTAACTTTGATCACTTAGTTAAGATGGTGCCTGCCATGTTTCTTAGTGTAGACTCAGTATTTTTCCCTTTGTAATTAATAAGTATTTTATAGGGAGATACTTTAAAACTATGTAAATTCCTCATTTTTTCATCAAATTTTTACCCACAAATTTTAGCGTCTATTGATGATCCTTTCTTGAATCAATTTTTACTATGATGGTTGTCAAAGGGTGTTTTTTCCTAATTTAATAATTACTTCTATATTCATCTGTTGGCATTTTACTGTAAATAAAAGTTTTCCCTTCTCTATTTATTTATTCATTTATCTATATCAGCATAAACTATATCAATATGAATTTTATTTATTTACTCAATGGGTCATAATTCATGGCTACCATTATTTATTTTGATGCTTAAATTCTCCCTGATCGGGCCAGTGGGAGCCCTCAAAATAGTTCCTATGTCATTTTGACTTGTTCTTATTGTTCTTTGAGCACTTCCTTACTTTCTGGCACACACACAAAAAAAAATGCTCCAGACTCACCTCTAGACCTGACACTGGAATTTGCTGTTTCTCCAAGGAATGCTGGTTCTTTCTGGCAGAGAATGGCATTTAGATGCCAGAATTGGATGCTAAGTGTGTTCATTTTTATTGGAGTATCATTGTTTCCGCACCCTCTCAGCAGACAGAGCAAGGATATGTATTATATATATATATGTATATCCATTCCCATATCTATATTTATATATGTCATGAATTCACAGTGATTCTTCCAATTTCAGTCCGTTAGCATAGAGTTCATTCTGTCCTTCCCTCTTTCTGCATGTGTAACTCCCTTCTTCAACAGTGAGACACCTAGATCCACAATATATTTACTTATTTGCTTAATCCTAGAATACACAGAAAGAAGTTTAAAATTGCTATTTCTATACTATGATGGAAATCAAATCTACTCGTTTTTAAAGTTTTATTTTGTTTATAGCCCGAAAATATAAAAACAGCATTGTTGTGTTCCAAAGTTACTCAGATTATTCCCCCTCTTCAGTGTGATTGTTATTCATTCAAAATACTGTTAATTTGTTTCTCTTTGTATTCTATTTTAGTTTCCCCTCAATCTTTTTGATTTTTTTTTGCTTAAATAAAACATTAACGTAGTCCCAAATGTCAGATTGATATAAAAAGACACAATAAAAGGGAAATGTCACTTCTCTCCATCACCTCTATCCTCTCCACCATAGGTACTCAATTTCAGTAGTTTCTGGTTTGTCCTTAGTTTTGCTCAAATGAGCTGCTACACATTTGTCTTCTTAGTTCTCCTTTTTTATTACATTTTAAAAGCATGCTATAGGTATTCTTTTGCACATTTCTTTTTTAACTTAACAAATATGCTGGAATCCACTATTTCCTACAAATTCAAATATTCCTCATTCATTTTTACAGTTGCATGCAATACTTCACTGTGTGGATATGCCATAGTTTATTCAACCATCTCCCTATGTATGGACAGTTTGGTTGTTTTTAATGCTCTAAAGAGTAACTTTGTGAATATTTATTTTTCTGCTGTTAGAAGCATGTCTTCAGTTCAAATTCCTAGAAGTGGGATTGCTGGGTCAAATGGTAAACACATATGTAGGTTTGTTAGATATTGCCAAATTTCCTTAATAAGAGTTGTACCACATATATTCCTACAAAACTGTGTGAGAGCACCTCATTAATCTAATGTGCTGTCATCATGGTTTTAAATTTTAGTCAGTCTAATAAATGAGACATTTTATCTCAGTGTAGCTTTAATTTGCATTCCCTATGAGTAACGCTGAACATTTATAAAATATATTTTTATCATGTATATTTGCCTTTTCCTCTCTCAATGTTTGAGACTTATTTATATATATTAGGATTGTTATTCTGGATGTGTTTTGCAAATGTTTCCTCCCAGTTTGTCAGTTGTCTTTTGACTTTGTTTATGGCATCGTTTTGCCTTGTAAGCATTGTCTGTTTTAATGCAGTCAAGTTGATAAATCTTTTCTTTTATTGCATCTGGATTAGGAGCCATGGTTTTAAAAACCATTCTCCAGGTTACACAATAATTCATCCATGTTTTCTTCTTGCACGTGTATTGTTTCATTTATTTTACAGTTAGATTCATGATTCTTTTCATGCTTATTCTTGTCTGCCCTCATAAATTTCCCAAATATATTTTTATTAATAAACACTTCTCAGCAACACAAAAACTCAACTCCTCTGTAGATGAGTGTGTTGGTGTCTAGTATCTTGCAGTGATCCTGTTTACATGTTTGTCAGGAAAAAAGAAATCACTGCCTTCTGCTCCAAACCCTCCAATAATTTCCTATCTCATTCAAAGTAGAAGGCAATGTCATAACTATGATCCATTCAGTCCAATGTGATCTGCTTTCCTTTAACTTCTCTGAGTTCATCTTTGACCCTTTTCTCCTTCTTTTCTCCCTCTGGCCACAATGGCCTTTGCTGCTCTAGTATTCTTTGCACTCTGACTGGGGTCCTTTGCCCTCGGAGGGTCTTGTTTGCTCTGTCCAGATTGTTTTTCTCCTGAATAGCCCCAGTGGCCAGCTCCCTCATTTCATTCTAGTCTTTACTCGAAGATACCTTCTCAGTGAGATCTTTCCTAGATATCCTCTTACACTTTTACCTCCCTTTCCATTCATATCCCCTTCTTTGGTCTATTTTTCTTCTCTTACTACTTAGCTCCATTGAACACATTATATATTTTACAATGACCTCATTTGTGTTTGTCTCTCTTACAATGTAAGATCCATGAAGGAAATATTTTGTTTTTTTGTCTGTCTGTTTCTCTATGTTCGAGCCCCCTAGTTCCATGAATATTGCCTGATCCATGGTAGACACTTCATAGAAATTTTTTGAATGAATAAATACACAAATCTCATGAGAAAATGGGGATTCTGCACAGAGTTTTCATCCTGTAATATGCTTAAGACATTAGACATACATCAAAAGGATTTTGTAGTTGTTTATAATAAACAAAATCCAGAGTACATACATGTTGGTGCCAATGGGGACAATTTTGAAAAAAAGGTAAATGGAACTAAAATTGGAGCAGTGATTTGTAGGTGTACACAAAGGAGGTTGTCCTGTGTTAATTTTTACTACAATTGACTAAGCTTTATATGCAGGGAGTTGCACAAGGTAGGCAATTTGACTTAAGATACTTGAATTAAGCCGAGTGCTGTTGTGGTCCTCTGGCTTCTAACTGAAGGAAACACATTCTTCTTCAGAGGAACCATCCTTCAGTTTTTTTGTATTGTTTTGTTAGAGACAGTATCTTGCTGTGTTGCCCAGGCTGGAGTGCAGTATCACTATCATAGCTCACTGCAGCCTCGAACTCCTGGGCTCAAGTGATCCTCTTGCCTCACCACAGTAGCTGGGACTACAGGCACATGCCACCATGCATGGCTATTTTTAAAGATTTCTGTAGAGACAGGGTTTCCCTTGTTGCCCAGGCTGGTCTCAAACTCCTGGCCTCAAGCAATCCTCCTGCCATGTCCTCAAAGTGCTAGGATTACAAAGATAGTTTTCAACAGATTAAAATCTACCACAAACATAAACTCATAAAAGATTTGGCCGGGTGCAGTGGCTCACGGCTGTAATCCCAGCACTTTGGGAGGCCCAGGCGGGCGGATCATGAGGTCAGGAGATCGAGACCATCCAGGATAACACGGTGAAATACCATCTCTACTAAAAATACAAAAAATTAGCCGGGCATGGTGGCGGGCTCCTGTAGTCCCAGCTACTTGGGAGGCTGAGGCAGGAGAATGGCGTGAAGCCGGGAGGCGGAGCTTGCAGTGAGCCGAGATTGCACCACTGCACTCCAGCCTGGGCGACAGAGCAAGACTGCATCTCAAAAAAAAAAAAAAAAAAAAAAAGATTTAATAAAATTTAACCGATTTTTAAAAGCCCTTTAAACTACAGAGAAATAGAAAAGAGTTCCCTTAGCCCTATAAAGATATTTGCAAAAAATACCTGCAGCAAATATCTTTCCTTATGGTAAAATATTAGAAGCATTTTGTTTTAAACTGAGCTCATTTTAAATCTTAAGAAGAGGATGCTTACTAAAAGTGCGTAATAGGAATAAATCTAACAGAATAGTTGAAGAATCTTTATGGAGAAAATTATAACATTTTATTCAGGTAAAGTGAATGTGACCTAAATAAATCAAGAAATAAGCACATTCATGTATAGGACAACTTGATTAAAAAATATATGAGCTCTCTACAAACTGATCAAATGTATAGTCAATGCAATTTTTGTCAAAATTTAACATTTTTAAAGGAACCTGACAATGTCGTTCTAAAATACATCATAGCAAAGGGACACAAACAGTAAAAGTGACACTTCCTGATACTTGTTCTAGTAGGTATCAAGACCTAAATTCTTAATATTTAGGATAGTGTGGTATTGATGAATGAGTAGAAAAATAGATTAATAAGAAAAAAGAGAAAGACCTCATATATAGAAAGTAGCTTCATGGCATGGGTAGTGCTGAAGATTGCTGGTGAAAGATGAGAGAGACTATTCAACAAATAATTTGGGGACAATTCATTACATATAATGGAATAATAAAATCAATCCAAACCTCATACATATTAATTCTATTCCCAATGGATGATGGCTTAAACATGAAAGGTAAGACATTAAAAAATGTAGAAGAACCTATATATGAGAGTACTTTTATGACCTTGGGGTAAGGAAATATTTCTTATAATAGACATGAAAATGCAAATGATAAAGGAAAAGTTTGATGGATTCAAGTATATTAACACTAAAAACTTCATTTGTTAAAATATATTATTACAAGAGCACAACCACATGACTTACATAAGACATAAGTCATCTGCAATACATATAACTAAAAAGGAGACTGTTATGTAGAACATGTGAAGAACTGCTACATACCCATAGGAACGATATACCAATTAAAATGGGTAAAAGAATGGAATTCTATTTTCAGTAATGTTATGTCCTAGGTTAACTGGATGAATTATTCCACTGAAAACAACCCTAAGTGCTGAAATACGTGTGTGTGTGTGTGTGTGTGTATGTGTGTGTGTGTGTGTGTTTAGATCGATCTATCTATCCTATCTGTCCATCCATCCTGCCTATCTATCTATATATCTATCTATCTATCATCTATCTAGATATCCCTATAAATATATATAATCAGAATGTATAAGAGAAATTATTAGGGCAACATAAAAGAGAAAGTGGAAATCTACTAGGTCATTTTAGGGGTGTGGGAGAATTTGAGCTTTGATTCTTGTAGAATTTCGGGCCACTAGAAACAGAAATCAAAGCTCACCAGGATGGCTGAAATTAAACAATCAGATAATAAAAAGTGCTGATGAGGATGTAGTGAAACTGGAACCCTTGTACACTGCTGGCAGGAATATCAAATGGTGCAGGTACTTTGGAAAGCAATCTGGTAGTTTCTCAAATGATTAAACCCAGCAATTCCTCTCCTAGGTAAATACCCAATAGAAATGAAAGCATATGTTCACACAAAAACTTGTACATGAATGTTCATAGCAGCATTATTCATAACAGTCAAAAGGTAGAGATGACTCAAATGTCAATCAACGGATTGATGGATAAACAAAGTGTGTACATCCACATAACGGAAAAAACCATAAGATGGAATGATGTACTGATATGTTACAACTTGGATGAGGCATGAAAACATTATGCTAACTGGAGGAAGCCAATAACAAAAGTCCACACATTATATGATTCCATTCACGTGAAAGTCTGCAACAGGAAAATCTATAGAGACAGGAAATAGATCAGTGATTGCTTAGCAGCGGAGGGGAGTATAAAGGGAGGATGGATAATAGGGAGTGGATAGAGGATGACACTAAAAGAGTATTCTTCAGGTGATGAAAATGTTCTAAAATGGACTCTAGTAATGACTAAATGTATTTGTAAATATACTAAAAGTCATTGAATTGCATACTTTAAATGGATGAATTGCATGGTATATGAATTATGGTTTAATAAAACTGTATTTAAAAAACCCTAAAGATAAAGAAAACTTGAAAATCAGTAATGGAAAAAGATATGTTATGTAAACAGTAGTAAAAGATATATGTAATTATATCAATTGTTGACAAAAGAAAATTTAAGAACAGTTCACTTAGATGATATAATAATTTTAAGTTTTTCTACATATAATAGTGTATCTTCAAAACATTTAAGACAAATTCAACAGAACTACAAGAAGAAACAGACAAATTTACAATGCAAATTTAAATTCACAGATACATTTTATCTGTTGATAATTGATAGAATAAGTTGATAAAATTAGCAAATAAATTGAAAATTTATACATGATTAACTTGCAAGGCATAGGGAACTTATAGAACACTGCGCCTGATAAATGCAGAAGACATCCTTTTTCAGATACAGAAAGCTAATGTACAAAAATTGATTGCAAGCTAGATCATAGGGCAAGTCTCGAAAAACTTCAAAGATTGAAATCATGTGGAATATGTTCTCTGATCTCTACGCCATTGAGCTAGAAATTAATAATCAATAAATACTTTTTAAAAACTGTATGTTTGAAAATTAAGATAGACATGTCTAACTTATACATAGGGCAGAAAAAAATCATAATAGAAACGAACATATATTAGTGTGTTTTTCAAACTGAGCCATAGGAGAAAAAAACATTAAAATTTATGGGATACAGCTAATGCGGGTTTTAGAAAGAGATATTAGATATATTGTCTTAAGAGGTCAGAAAAAAAAATCCGAAGAAAGGAGATAGTAAAATTAAAACAAAAAATCAGTGACATCAAAAACAGGAGCCAAGTTGGGTTCTTAAAAAATCTAATTAATTTGTCAAATGACCAGTGAGAATGATCAAGAATAAACAGAGGGACAAAAATAAAAGTAATGATGAATATTAGAAAGGTATAAGGGGCCATTACTGCAGATAGATCAAGAAGAGAGGGTATGTTTGCTGTCAACAGCAACCAGAATGCACCAACCAGAAGTCCTTAGCAAAATGTTTCCCAATCTATGATTTATCCTAAGATAGTATCTGTTTCCATGATCAGCTTTGGAACTTCCTAGCTTCTGCTGAATTATAAAGGAGATTGATATCAAGCCATTCTAAACCATCTCTAGTCCTCCTGCCTTACAGCAGAATTCTATTTATGCACAAGTTACCCTTAGACCATAGGTTGTGGATGAGATCCTTGCTCCAGCACAAAGCAATTGCCATTGTGTAAATGGGGCTACCACATCTGCAAGTTGTGGTTCTCAGTGTTGATGAGCTATTGTCTGAACCTCCTGGGGTATTGCCAAGAACACATAGCAAGTGTAGGGGCATGGTAGAGACCATGCAGGTGGCTGCAAGAGAAGAGAATCACTCTCCATGAGACTTAATTTTTCCCAATTCAAGTATTTTAAAAATCAGTTATGGTTTCCTGTCATGACACTAATATGGAGTTTTAAAACAGTTGCAATGTTTTGCAATCTAATAAACTTACATTACTTAGAGTTTGGGTATCTTGAATACAACATAAAAGTCATATGTAAAAAAACAAAATGAATCCTAGAGATTTCCTGGAAAAAAATCTGGCCAGTTATCCAAAAAGAAGAGGAACTGCTTCCTTTAGGGGGTTTCCGCACTGGCCTGGGGTGTGTGGGATGTTGGGCCCTCAAAATAGTGAAAGAAGTTCATTTAGGAGTCAAATAAGAAGGAATATTCTTTCCCCTTTGCAAAGCAGAATTAATGTAGTATCAGAATGAGTAGAATCAGTGTCTAGATTCCGGCTAAGATAATTCTTTCCCCTTCCAAACCACTTGACTATCTTCGCTGAAAACCAGCACCTTCTACAGTAAGCAGTAAGCTGCCTCGGAATACTTCTGTCACATAATGCTAATCAATGAGCAGTCCACAAAAATGGTCAAACATCTGTGTGACCTGGTCATGTTGCTAGTCGTGATAATGGTGTGGGGTGGTCTGGAGGATGGGGGACAGGGACATTTGCAGGGACTTTCCAAACTGCCTAATGCTTTGCAGGCATTTCATCACCATTTCTGTTTTCATTCCTTCCAGTCAAAGCAGAAAGAGATTTTCCTGCCATTTGGACCTGTCTTCCTGCAAAACTCATGGATTTGCATATCATATTTTACTGTATTTTACTTATTTCAGATTTTGTGTTTATGAGGTACTGAAACAAAGGCTTGACCCCTCACAGTTTTAAGGGATGCAGAATACCCTTTGGGAACAGAGATGGATTGCTGTCATCGGGTCATCCTATGTCTGCCTCCAGAGGTGGCCGTGATACTGAAGAACAGTGAGGGGCCAGTAAGTAGTGGAAGAGGGTGTCCTTTCACACTCCTTCCAGAATTCCCTACCTTTTCTTAATAGCCCTTTTGTTTACCTTGGAGTTTATCCAAATCTTCATTTAAACAAATATCTTTGGCTTCAAGAAGACACAGGATTGGTCATGTCTCATCATCTTTATTTCTACTTCTCCCTGACATGTGGAGAAGTCCTATAGTTGATCTTCTTTACCGAGACTTCAGTTTAAAAAGAACTTTAATAAACTAATTTACTTTAGTGATGTAACTTAATATAATTTAGTGATGACACAAAACTAAATCTGAAACATTTAGAATAGTATTTTATTAAAAATAAATTACTTTCCCTTCCCTAATTTATCAGCAATCAAGTTTTTAAAAACTTTTTCACTGAAGATTGAGAAAAGACACTGCCAAGATATACAGATAATTGGTAGTTAATTGAAATATACATACAAGTTTACCAAGTGAAATTTTACAATTTTACAAAGTAAAATTTTATTTTTTTAATTAAATTAATTTTTTTAGAAATGGGATCTTGCTATGTTGTTCAGACTGGCCTCAAACTCATGCCATCATGCCCAGCCTAAAGTAAGAACTTGCAGAAGCATTTTTAAAACGCAAGAGTACTTGGTATTCTGATAGGAAGCAAAATGATTTTCATATGTTGGAGTTCAATTTGAATATTAAGAGGCATTAGAAAGCCTTATTCTCAATACTGGAAATACGACAGTGTAATCAAGTGAAGTACTTTTGAATTTCTTCAGAATTAATAAGCTGTAAAGTTACTTATTAATATGTGACAACACAACTAACCAAGCTAAAAATAGAATTTCTCTGTTACAGGAGTAACAATATACATTAAAAGTTGATAAACTTATTAAAGCAAGTTTAACACATTGGGAAAGGCTCCAAATGAGTATATTCACTTTAGCTTACATGATTTGAAGACGAAAAAAAAAGCCTCTAAACTTAAAAGCAATAAAAACAACAGCGACAATATACCTAATAAAACCTTTATTTTATAAACAGTTCCAAACTTTCTAGATCATTGGTAACACAAAACAATTTGAGATTTCTCTCTCTCTCTCTCTATATATATATATATATGTGTGTGTGTGTGTGTGTGTGTGTATGCCATTTATATAAAAATACCATATATAGAATAGAAGTAGAACAATAACAGCTAATATTTGGAAATATAGCAAATATATGAAAAGGTCAAAGTTCAGAAAGGGTCTGTAACTTATAATCACAAGACAATAGTTAGTCAATATACTGAAATACATTTACACACATTCAATATCACTTTTAATTCCAATTAACAGGGAGCAAAGATACGTAAAATCGACTTCATTCCCCAACTATTAGCCTCCTAGAAAATCTATAAATTCTTGCCAGATAACGTATAATTTAAAGTGGTAATTAGTAGTCATTTCAAGTTCCACTGCCAGTATATGGCCAATCAAAGGAAAGAAAATCTTTCTTCCTTCATAAGTTTTAGAAAATAGTTCATATGTCAAAGTTAAATAATGCACGAAAATATTAAGAAACCATTGTATCTAAAGATATTTACTACTTCTATTAGTAACTATTTCTCCTTTAACATAGTGAATGTTTTCAGCCATCCTAAATTACAGGTAATAATTCCCCAGTATATTGTCCATCATACATCCTAACAATTTTACTTCTCCAAAGCATTTTGTATAAGAAGTACCATAAGTAATAAAACATGGATTTGCTCGAAGTAGTTAGACATGTAGTTTTTCTCTAGGGAATTTACAATCCATTCCTATTTCTTTGTCTGGTGGTTTTGAAAGCTTAATAGCAGTTATGAAAATTTGTTGATGTACTTTGTAGCACCTTGCAATAACTTCTAGAACAGGCCTCTTCCTCCAGGCAGAAAGAGCCCAGTGCTGGGAAGCCTAATTTGGACTGGACTTCAGCCTCTACCTTAGCTTTTGAGAAGAGGGAAAGCACATAATCTCACAAAGAAGCTCTGCTTCAGGGCTCAGTAAAAGGTTTTATTGTTGTTGTTTGTTTATGTCTCTCTTCTACTGGATTAATTATAGTTTACTCTCACATTGTATCACTCTCTCACTTCAGTTTAATGTTAAACTGTTGAAAATTCATTCAATTGTCAGTAAATTTTGTCATAATTCTTCCACTTCTCTTTGCTGAAGTCTGTTTCGAAAAATAAGGATGCTTCCACTGAGTTGGAAGGCAGTTTCCAGTTTCATCATGCAATAATGTAGTACACTATTTCTCTTAGCATAACATCTTCTTTAATGGCTAACTTACTTTTAGTCCCTTTCCTTGTCTCAATATTCTGTGTCTGTATATGCTGCTTTATAAATGATTTCTGCCAGCATTCACATATTGTAGAAGGGAAAGTGTTATAGAATTTTGAGAATTATCAAGGAGTTTCATAAAATTAGAACTACTTTGGAAAATAATTTATTCATATCTAGTAAAATTAAAGATGTATACATGTATTGACCCAACAATTACACCTCTATATACACCCAAGAGAAACTCAAGCATTTATACAATTTTTAATGATTTATGCATCAGTGAAAATGATTGAATTAAAGCTACATGCATTAGCATGGCACTCAAAGTCATACTGAAGCAAAGATGGCAAATTGCAGGATACATGAAGGATGATGCCATTTATATAAAAATCACGACTATATGAAACAGTACTGTTTTGCATACATTTTTAACAACATGCATTTGTTTTAAAATGTATCTAATTTTGGTAAAATGATAAAACATCCATAGAAAGGATGAATGCCACTTTATGGATAGTGCTTACCTCTAAGTGTAGAAGGAGGGAACTTGGATTGGACAAGGGGCTTTATAGCTGTTATTTTATTGTAAAAATTCTGAAGCACATGTACTAAATGATGAGACATGGCAAAGTTTGGTATTGGGCTTATAGTTGGTCACTGTTCTTCTGATTTTCCTGTATATTTGAAATATTTTATAATAAAAAAGAAAGAATATTTCAATGAAACAGAGGTGGTTTGCAACAGAAACTAGAAAACCTGGGGCCACAGACAAGAAAGTTGGCATTGTGTATCCAGGCTGGCTAGTCACCCACATAAGATTTCTCAAGGTTAACATATGTGTCCCCATGTTCCAAGCCTCATCCCTGACTTCACAGTCTCAGAAAGTGACTTCCATCAGCATAAGGACCATGGATTGTTTTCTAGTGGAGAGATTCACAGAAACAGAACTCCCAAGCAACCGTTTTTATAAATTGTATGGCTTTTCCAGTGACCAGTACCTTCATGTCTCCTACATGGATCCTCTCCTCTTTTTTCCTAACCAGCAGCTAGGCATCAGAAGGCTACTTCTCAAGTTGGAATCCAAGAAAAGATACAAGGAAAGTATATTGAGAGAGGTTTCACCCAATTTCACGCAAGTCTGTGACTCTTAACCCTGACAGTATATTAGAATCACTTGGGGAGCTTTTTAAATTTACTGATTCACTTCCAAGACCAATTATCAGGTTTGTGCAAAAGTAACTGTGGTTTTGATCTGGACGCTGCTGTAACCTGATGAGACAGCTTTGCTGGTGAGATCAGTGGCTGAGCATTAGAATCATGGAAGAGGCTCACAAAAATAAACTGGGGCTCACTCTCAGAGATTCTGATCCATCAGTTGGTGCAAAAGTAATTGCAGTTTGTGCAATTGCTTTTAATTAAAACTGCAATTACTTTTGCACCAACCTGATCATTGGTTTCAAAGGGGAATCGGTAACTTTAAAAAGCTCCCCAAGTGATTCTAATGTACAGTCAGGGTTAAGAGTCACAGCCTTGCGTGAAACTGGGTGAAACCTCTCTCAATATACTTTCCTTGTATCTTTTCTTTGATTCCAACTTGAGAAGTAGCCTTCTGATGCCTAGCTGCTGGTTAGGAAAAAAGAGGAGAGGATCCATGTAGGAGACATGAAGGTACTGGTCACTGGAAAAGTCATACAATTTATAAAAATGGTTGCTTGGGAGTTCTGTTTCTGTGAATCTCTCCACTAGAAAACAATCCCTGGTCCTTATGCTGATGGAAGCCACTTTCTAACACTGTGAAGTCAGGGATGAGGCTTGGAACATGGGGACACATACGTTAACCTTGAGAAATCTTGTGTGGGTGACTAGCCAGCCTGATTTTCTCACCATCTTACCCTTTCTTCTACCTGATCCCATCATTCCATGTACCCCAAATATCTTAACATGAACTGTAAGACTAAATATCAGGATCCTTCAGCCTCTTGCCTCATCTTTCCCGCCGAAGTACTGAATTGCTTGCATTATCACCTGAACTTGCCAAGTCTCCGAGCTTTCATCCTTGAATGAGTTGTTTCCTTGCCTGGGATATTCTTCCACCTCCTTGTCTGCCACTACCATCACCACTGCTCTTTAGGACATCTTCTGAATCCATCAGGTCTCAATTTGAATCTCACATTTCCTGGGGATCCTTCTCTACTCCCCAAGACTAGATTAGTGCTTTTACTACTTAACTGCTCAAAATGTTATTGGAGCTAGAAGGGAGTGCACAGTGGATGCTACAACTTTGCAGTCACATTTCTATCTATTGGACTGAATATTTCTCCTCTACTCTATTATTCAGCCCAGATGAAGATTAATCAATTTCCTATCCATACAAGAGTGCTTCTAAGCTGGGCGCAGTGGCTCACGCCTGTACTCCCAGCACTTTGGAAGGCCGAGGTGGGTGGATCACTTGAGGTCAGGAGTTTGAGACCAGCCTGGCCAACATGGCGAAACCCTGTCTCTACTAAAAATACAAAAATTAGCCGGGCAGGGTGGCAGGCACCTGCGGTCCCAGCTACTTGGGAAGCTGAGGCAGGAGAATTGCTTGAACCCGGAAGGTGGAGGTTGCAGTGAGCTAAGATCATGCCACTGCACTCCAGCCTGGGCAACAGATGGAGCCTGTCTCAAAAAAAAAAAAATAATAACAAAACAAAAACAAATAGTCCTTCTATTTGGCAAAATGCAAAGCACTTCCTTTCAAAACTTTGAGTCTCCCATCTATTTTTTTCTCTGTCCAAGATGTTTTTTCCTTATTCATGCATTTGTCAAACATTAATTGGGAACTTAGTCTGCTCTGGGCCCTGTGCTGAGTCTTGGGAAGATAACCATGATAACAATCACTACTTTCTGTTTATGCTTTTGGTCTCACTCTGGGCCTTTACAAAAAAAAAATTCAATAGCTTTTGGGGTACAAGTGGTTTTTTGTTACATAGATGAATTATATAGTGGTGAATTCTGAGATTTTAGTGCACTTGTCACCCAAATAGCATATATTGTATTTAATGTGTAGTTTTTCATCCCTGGCCTCCTTTCCACCTTCCCCCTTCTGAGTCTCCAAAGTTCATTATATCACTCTGTATACCTTTGCATACTCATAGCTTAGATCCCACTTATAAGTAGGAATATACGGTTTTTGGTTTTCCCCTCCTCTGTTATTTCACTTAGAATAATGGCCTCCAGCTCCATCCAAGTTGCTGCAAAAGACAGTCTTTCTTTCCTTTTAATGGCTGAGTAGTGTTGGTATGAGTAGTATGGTGTATACATAGGTTCACGCCATTGTCCTGCCTCAGCCTCCCGAGTAGTTGGGACTACAAGTGCCCGCCACCAAGCCCGGCTAATTTTTTGTATTTTTAGTAGAGACGGGTTTTCACCATGTTAGCCAGGATGGTCTCAATCTCCTGACCTCATGATCCACCCGCCTCGGCCTCCCAAAGTGCTGCGATTACAGGCATGAGCCACCGTGCCCGGCCCCCACATTTTCTTTATTCATTCATTAGTCAGTGGACACTTAGGTTGGTTCCACATATTTGCAATTGTGAACCGTGAGCCTCACTTCTTTCAAGAAGCTTTCCTGAATCCTTATGCACAGGTCATAGGCCCTTCCACTGTCTCCCATAGCACTCTAGCCTGCCCCATATCCCAGGGCTTTTTGATCTAGGATTACCTGCTTATTTGCTTGTATTCCTATATGTGCCTTCAGACATTAAAATCTGTGAAGGCAAATCTAGTTTATTGATTGGCATATCCCTACTACCTAGGCAATGCCTGGCATCCTAGTTAGGGCTCAAAAAATATATGTGGAATGATGGAAATTTTCCTATAACAATGAGAAAGGATTTGGGATTTTGAAGGTTGACAATGAGATATCCAAGTGGACTTATGCTGTTGACAACCAGGAATGTGAAAACAGTTTCGGGGAGAAAACAGAATATGAAATACAGACAAAAAATTTTCAGCACAGAGAAGCTAAATGAAGTGATGGGTAATACAATGACTTCTCTTGATAAATGCACATAAAGAGAGAAAAGCAGAAGCACAGAGATTGTGTCTTGGCACATATCCTTTGGTCTCTGTGAAAGGAGCTGTGGCAGAAGATGCTATAGATAGCTGTAAGTGCCCCTTGGCGTTCTCCTCTACACACCCACCTAAGGCTGTTTATGGCAAACTCTGGGACCCTCTGCCTCACCATGGGAGCATGCTGGGCCAGTACAGGACAAGTCAGAACTGCTGGAGAGTCATGCTCCCATAAGCAGTTCTCAACTAATGGCAAATGGGAAGTTGGTGGCAAAATACACCCACTTCTCTGCCCCTCCTTTGGGATAAGTATGAGGTGGATTCTTCACCATCCCTCAGAGGTCCCCAGTAAGGCTGAATGCCAGCAGTTGTGTTCAGTGGTAACTAGTATGAGCACCCACACTTTGTCAGTTTACTTCTTTTCCCTGTCTCACTTTCACCATGCCACTACCAGTACTTCCCAGCATCGCGTTCCCTATAGACTACTTACACCCAAATCTGCCTCTGGGAGAGCCCAAAGCGAGATAGGAGCTAATGAAAGAAGCTTGTAAGGGTAATTTAGAAACTTGGAACATTGAGATGTCTGTGACTTAGATAAGTATTATTAAAAAGGAGAATGTCCTTAGTCATGTTTAAACTGCATAGGGTTTTCGTAGTAGGAGCAAGACAACCCAAAAACTTCTGTGTGTTTTTTAAATATTACTTTTATTTTAAGTTCATGGGTTCATGGCAGGTTTGTTATATAGGTAAACTTGTGTCATGGGGGTTTGTTGTACAGATTATTTTATCACCCAGGTATTAAGCCTAGTACCCATTAGTTATTTTTCCTGATCCTCTCCCTCCTCCTACCCTCCACCCTCCAATAGGTCCAATACTGTGCATTGTTGCCCTTTATGTGTCCATGTGTTCTCATTGTTTCACCACGACTTGCAAGTTATAACATGCGGTATTTGGTTTTCTGTTCCCGCATTAGTTTGCTAAGGACAATGGCCTCCAGCTCCATTCATGTTTTTGCAAAGGATGATCTTGTTCTTTTTTATGGGTGCATAGTTCTTGTTCTTTTTCATGTGTGCATAGTATTCTACAGTGTGTATGTACCACATTTTCTTTATCCAGTCTACCACTGATGGGCATTTAGGTTGATTCCATGTCTCTGCTACTGTGAACAGTGCTGCAGTGAACATTCATGTGCATGTGTCTTTATGGCAGAATGATTTATATTCCTTTGGGTATATACCCAGTAATGAGATTGCTGGATCAAATAGTAGTTCTGTTTTTGGTCTTCGAGGAATTGCCACACTGTCTTCCTTAATAATTGAACCAATTTACATGCCCACCAAAAGTGTGTAAGTGTTCTTTTTTCTCTGCCACCTTGCCAACATCTGTTGTTTTTGGCTTTTTAATATTCGCCATTCTGACTGGCATGAGATGGTATCTCATTGAGGTTTTGATTTCCATTTCTCTATTCATCAGTCATGTAGAGCTTTTTTTATATGATTGTTAGCTGCATGTATGCCTTCTTTTGCAAAGTGTCTGTTCATGTCCTTTGTCCACTTTTTAATGGGATTGTTTTTCTTCTTGTAAATTTGCTTAAGTTCCTTATAAATTCTGGATATTATAACTTTATCAGATGCACGGTTTGCAAAAATTTTCTCCCATTCCGTCTGTTCACTTTGTTGATAGTTTATTTTGCTGTGCAGCAGCTCTTTAGTTTGATTAAATCCCATTTGTCAGTTTTTGCTTTTGTTGCAATTGTTTTGGCATCTTCGTCTTGACATCTTTGCTCATTCCTGTGTCCAGAACGGTATTGCCCAGATTGTCTTCCAGGGTTTTTATAGTTTTGTGTTTTACACTTAAGTCTTTAATCCACCTTGAGTTAATTTTTGTATAAGGTGTAAGGAAGGGGTCCAGTTTCAATCTTCTTCTGCATATGGGTAGCCAGTTATCCCAGCACCAAGCAACCCTAAGCAAAAATGACAAAGCTGGAGGCATCATACTACCTGACTTCAAACTATACTACAGGAACACAGTAACCAAAAACAGCATGGCACTGGCACAAAAATAGACACATAGGCCAATGGAACATAATACAGAAACCAGAAATAAGCCCACACACTTACAACTATCTGATCTTTAACAAAGCTGACAAAAACAAGCGGGTAAAGGACTTCTTATTCAAAAACTTCTATCTGAGCATTTACTGTGATAGGATTCTGAGAAGACAAGGAAAGAAGACTTCTCTCAGCAAAACTGAACATGTACATGCGTGAATTTCTTTCCTTGTGATTTTGATCACCTGATTTTGGAAGTTGCCATTTATCTCATACAAAACCAATATTCTACATCTTGTCACTTTTCTCAGCCTTTCCAAACTAATTTGGAGTTTGGGAGTCTACTTTGTTTTCCCAGTCAAGTGCTCTCTGATCTTTTTTCTATACTTTAAAGAAGTTTCACTAAAAAATTTCCACAGTTCCTTCACTTTCAATAAGCCCATTACACAATTACAGTGTATATTTTTCCTATATGTTTCCTATTGATAAACCATCACTCTTTGTAAATATTTTATGGTATAGTAAAATCATATTTTATTCATTAAGTTCCTTCTACCAAGACTTTGAAGTTTACCTTATATATGGGTTCTCAATTTTAGCCAAGAATCTGATTTCACCGTATTTTTAATGCTCATTATTTGAACCACTTTATAAAAATTTAGGCCCATAAGCCACTCTTCTTAAAACAACAGCTACATGTATTCTGTGACCTTAATCTTGATTATTTGATTCTTAATCTTCATCCCAATGAAAAAATAAATTTTCTATATATTGTGTAGTATAAATACACTTTATCATTTAAAATTATTTCCATATCAATTATCAAAATAACCCTATGATACATGTTTTTTTCACTTATCTTAGGTCATAAATTTTCGTTAATGTATTTCCAAAATCTTCATATGTATCACTTTAATAATCACATAATATTCTACTGAACAAAATTTACTTAATCATTTACCCAGCTTAACTATGATTCCAGACTCCTATTAGAAAAAACTGAATCACAACTAGTTAAATTTTAGCTTTATATCCCTTCCGTAAAGTCTTATTTTTCAAGACTTTGTTCTTTTCCAATTTGATAGGGAGACCAAAGTCCCAATTCCCTTCTTATATGGGCCATAATATTTCCTCCTGGACACGAGTTCATTTGAGGACTCTTCTAACATTTATCCTAACTTAAAAATTTTTCTGACCTTACGTTATTTTCGTGCCAATAATGTGATCCCAGGGTAGTGTTAGAGGGGAAGCCATTGCTTTCTATCTAGGTGTTATCTTTCCCTCTGCAGCTTCCCCTAAATCCACAGCATGTTCTATGCATCTAAATCTCTTTCTTAGCAGTATTGCCTTCTTTATATGCTGTTTCTGGTTCTTTTCCTAGTTCTTATGTTCTATTTATAATAGAAACAGCACCTCAGGAAATACTAATCTAGAGATCCCAGGTTTAATTTTTATCCCAATAACCTGAATTTAGCCTTTAGTTCTTTTCTTACATTTTCTTTCTCCAGTGCCTTGCTCATGAATTACCGCAATCATTGATTCCCTACCACTGTCATCTTATGCACGTTTTCTACATGCAGAGCAAATTGCCATCCAGTTCTCACTGTCAGCACAGGCTAAATGAACTGTTAATTACATCTCCCATCAGCACTGCCTCCCTTCACTTTGATGGGGCTCCTTTTCCTGAGTGGTGTCTGAGGTCGATACTCTTGGAATTTCTTCTACTACTTGCCTGAGAATGGAGGCTCACATTCTCGTGCCAATTCCATCACTAAGGGTAGGACTTTGGTCAATTCACATTCTTTCTCTGGACTTGGTTTCCTCATTTATAAAAGGAGGGGTTGAACTCTAACATCCTTAAGGGCTGTTTCAGCTCTTGTGTCTTATGATTTTTTAAAGTGTCTTCCTTTGCACTTTCGAGACTGATATATTGAAAATGGGCCTACAGCCTCATCTATAGAAACTCTGCCTTTGTCCTGCTTTTTCAGTTCAGCAATCCCGCTCTAAGGAAACAAATTACTCTCCAAAATCCAGTGCCACATGTTTGAGTATACACAGTGAAAGAAGAATCCAGAACTAGATAGTGAATATCACAGAAACAATTCTTGAGCGTTACTGGCTAATGTTCACGCTGACTGAAGGACTTTTGTGCTTTGTAAAACTTCTCATCGTAAGCAATGTTCTTTCTAATATGTTTTTTAAATAAGTGCTCATCAGACAGTACAGCTGGATATTTGGACAAAAGACCCTTTTCTCCTTTTTGGAAAATCCCTCTAATCAAACCAAGAAAGACCGGTGCTTTCTGCAGGATGGTAAAGGGGTATTAGATTTGACCCTGGGACTTCCATGACATCTGACACACATCAGTGTTCTTAGTCAATCTAGTAGAATAACTAGACAATAAACAAACTAGAGTTTGTTCTTGTTTCTTCATGCTTCCAAATTCTCTTTCAGGTGATATTTTTAGGATATTCTTATAAATTAAGCATGATAAAATAAATATAAATGAAATATTAACCTCATTGAATATTTTCTTAGGCCATTTGGCCAATAGCATAATCTTTCATAAGCATTGGAATTACAGGGTTTAGATTGGAATAGAATTTTAGATACAACATGATTCAGTGATTTCTAAACATGGCTGGTCATCACAATTACCCGGGAACATGTTAAAGATAGATTCTGTGTCTGAATCTAGGCTAAAGAACTCAGAATCTCCCAGATAAAGGAACTAGAACCTGTGTTTTTGATGATTTTCCAGGTGGTCATTTTAATATAGTCAGCTTGGCACCCATATTTGAAAATGTTTGGGGCTTTTGAACATTTCTTTCCTGTGCTTTATGCAATACACTCTCTTTTATTTTATTTTATTTTTTTGAAACCAATACACTCTGTTTTAACATTATCTGCAAAGAGCTTTATTAGTCCCCTCTTGACTTGAAATCTGTTAAGGCATTCTCTCCTCACTTTTTTTTTTTTTTTAAGACAGAGTCTTGCTCTGTCGCCCAGGCTGGAGTGCAGTGGCACCATCTCGGCTCACTGCAAGCTCCGCCTCCCAGGTTCACGCCATTCTCCTGCCTCAGCCTCCTGAGTAGCTGGGACTACAGGCGCCTGCCACCACGCCCGGCTAATTTTTTGTATTTTTTTGTATTTTTAGTAGAGACGGGGTTTCACCATGTTAGCCAGGATGGTCTCGATCTCCTCACCTCGTGATCCACCCGCCTCGGCCTTCCAAAGTGCTAGGATTACAGGCGTGAGCCACCGCACCGGCCTCTCTCTTTACTTGTTTTGGCATGGAGACAAAATTTGCCCACCTGCTGTTTTCAACCATTGGCCTTACTGAATCCTGTCATTTGCTAATTCCCATATCTGACACCAGCTATCATGTCCTTCTATAGGCCAAGCATTTTACTTCTTTTATTAATTATATTATGGATTTAAGTTCTTGTACCAGTTTCTTCACTTGCTGGTGGATACAACATATTTTGATCACTCTCATTCTAAAATGTGGGGGGCAAAGCTGACCTCAATATTGTACAGTGTAATCAGCAAAGAAAAGCATGAGATTATCGTCTCTTTTTTCCTGCACACTAAACTTGTACTAATGTGGTCCAACATGACAGAAGTGATTTAGACAGTTCTATCACATTATTGACTCACTGAGTTAATTACATCATGAAGTTGTTTTCTCATGTGCTGTTCATAAGCCATCCTGGTATCCATATTGAATTTACACATTTGAACATTTGAAGATTTTTATAAAATTAATAATGCAACAGTACTTATATTAACAAATAGTTATATTTGTAGTATTTCTATATGGCAGGTTTGACCTAAAGCTTTCCTAGGTCAGTATTATTTTGGATGATTATCCTTTTAACCAGCTCTGGCTATTCATCCCTACTTCACCTCAATCACACATTTAACACACATGTCATCAAAAATTCTTCCAGGTCAGTGAGAGGGCCAAAGTCAGGCTTCTTTTTGGAATAAACTATCAATTGCTAGGAATAATTATTTTGTGAGATTAGAAGTAAAATGAAAGCACACACTTATAGATCGCTCATAGGCTCCAGTAGCGTTGTTGTAGTTGAGCTATATTTCTAAACATATGGACTTTAAAAGGGTTTAATTTCCTTCACCTAGAGTTGGTGAATTTTACACCTGTTTTAATCTGCTATTCTCTGGTTTGTCTGTGTTACATAATTGAATTCACTTCCTCCCTTCCCCCATGGGTTTTGTCTTAAATTCTCACAACAGTTCCCATAGGAAATAGGAACCAAGGTACATTGCACTTGCCTTTCAATTCTTCTTTTAGGTTAAAGTATGTTTGTTACAACTGCAAATTTGAAAGTTGGTTTTAAGTCTCTGATTATTTTTTGGTTAAAATATAAGCTAATATTAGGAATAATCATATAACTTGAAATAAGACTAAATATATTGTCTTTAAACCAAAATTAAAAAGACTTCTACTTTGTGGCACTTAAAGATATGATTAATAGAAAGTTAGTTTTCAAACTCCTACAGAAATGTGAAGATATTATTCCTAATCCCAACTTTGTCTATTCTATCTTATAAACCTCTTTCAACTTTTTTCTCTTTTTTGGGTCCATTCTGCTATTTTTGTAGTTTTCACCATCATCACCTCTAACCTAGGCTTCTACAATAGCTTCCCAAGTTCTCTCTCTTTTTTTCAATTTCCAAAACTCAGATATGGGAGCATAGATAAGAAAACTTGGCAATTGACATCACAAATAATTATACTATTTTTACAGTAAAGTATATCACACAATTATAATATAATAGTCTTGCAATAAAATTATCATCTAAGTGTTACTCTTATAAAAGAGAAATCATGAAATAGGTAGCCCCTTTTAAAAAAAAACCAGGTGGTAACATAACAGAATTGTCTTAATATTTTAAAAGTATTCAAAACCCATAAATTAGCCCTAAAAAGGTAAATTTTAGCTCCATTAGTTTATAGTTTGTGGTTCCTTCTTCCAGCATTCAAGCTGGTTCCTTTGGGATGTGTAGCTCCAGAAATTTGTATTGAGGAATTGAGAAGTCAGTGGCAGGTCAACTGAGGAATACTTACTCATCTCTGAGGGCAATGCTTGTCATCCCTGACCAATTGTCAGAATCACCTGGGAAGCTTTTTTTTTAAATGTACAGATTCTCATGCCCCACCTGGGAACTACTGAATCAGGTTCACTGTTCACTGAATCAGAACAGGCTGAGAATTTATGAATTTAAAAGTTCCCCAGGTGATTCTGATAACCAACGAAGGTTGTGAACCACAGTTTTAGGAAATTCTGATAAATGGGTAAAAAATTTGAATGTCATCAAGAGGAAGTCTGCAAGCCTAAATATAAATTGTTACAGTTGCTATCAGTTGAAGACATGTAAATGCAATTTGTGGGAATGGATTTAGAGACAGAATATGCAAACTTATCCCTATTGGATTTATTTATTTTTGACAGTATAAACGCCAATGCCAGGATTAAAAATTATAAGTGTAATTATACTGACTTTGGAGAGTGAGGTTTAAATTTAACATGATTTCAAGCAGATACTTCCAACAAAATACCCCCTTGGTAACACCCTAGACTTTGTCATGTCCTAATATGGCACCACTTCCAAAATCTCTAATTCAGACATCCTGCTGTCTACATACAATCTCCACTGCATTCAGCTTACCTATTTCAGTGTCAAACTGCTTGACCTTCGTTTGACTTCATGAGAACTTTCTGTCGCCTTTCCCCTTATTCTAATCTATTTGCCCACTCTTTCTTCAGTTCCTTCCTTAATCAGTCAAAAGTCTATACCACAAGTTCAACAGCACTCCTGCCAGTAACAAACTCCTTTGCCTGCTTCCTTATGGCAACTGTTTAGAAAATCCCAAACCTCAATCATTGTTACTTTCTGCTTTCCTTACCTAAGCACTGAGATAGAGCCACATGGCAGGTTGCACTGGTGGATAAATTCAGGATAACTAATTTCAAATAGACTCAACCTTGTGTGGCAACCTTACCATTGTTTTCCTCTTTTTAATTCACTTTATCAATGATTACTTTGTATCTTCTTTATACTCCTCACCCTTCCAACCATAACTGACCCTTTTCTGCCTGTCTTCTCACCTCCTTCTTCACTGAGAAGCCGTCGGAGATCTAGTCTCCCAATTTCCTGCTAGCAACTCTAGGAACCTCCATCTGCATTCATCTTTTCTTTTTTCCATTTTCTCTCTTCTCTTATTGAAGGTCAGTTCTTTCACATGAGGTCTTGGATTCTACTCTTTCCTGATTTTTCAGAAACATTTAACTATCAAACAATTCCACTCTTGCCTGTATTTTCAACTGTGTTCTAACATTGGATCATTCCCCGTGACATTTAAAAGAGCTAAAAAAAATCTCAAAAGACTTTCTTCCCCCAACTTCTAACCCTTTCTCCTCACTTTCAGAGCTAAATTTCTTTTTCTTTCTTTCTTTCCTTCTTTCTCTCTTTCTTTCTTTCTTTCTTTCTTTCTTTCTTTCTTTCTTTCTTTCTTTCTTTCTTTCTTTCTTTTTCTTTTTTAACTTTTTGAGACGGAGTCTTGCTCTGTCACCCAGGCTGGAGTGCAGTGGCTTGATCTCAGTTCACTGAAACCTCCACCTCCTGGATTCAAGTGATTCCCCTGCCTCAGCCTCCCAAGTAGCTGAGATTACAGGCACGCACCACCACACCCGGCTAATTTTTTTGTATTTTAGTAGAGATGGGGTTTCACCATGTTGGCCAAGATGGTCTCAATCTCCTGACCTCGTGATCTCCCCACCTCAGCCTCCCAAAGTGCTGGGATTACAGGTGTGAGCAACTGTGCCCAGCCTCAGCCAAATTTCTTAATGTCTTGAAAGAGTTACAGATGGCCTGTCCTTTTCAACACCTTTTACTAATGTTCAACCTACTTTGATTTAGCCTCTGTCTCTCTCATTATGACTAACGATCACCTTCATATTGCCAAAGCCAATGAACATTTTTCAGTTCTTGGTGGAATTTGACATTAACCACTGTTTTCTTCTTGAAACAATTTGTTCTGCTGTCTTCCCCAGATATCATTATCTGCTGGTTATCTGCTTAGCTCTCTGGTCATTCTTCCTCTCTATATACATATATATCTTTTTTTCCAGTTTATCCTCCTCTGTCTGGTGATTAAATGTTGGAGTTTCTCGAGGCTGAATCCTGGGCTCTTTTCACATTCTATTATATCTCCACAGGCAAATGTATCTATTACGTCTATGACTTGAAAAATTCTAAATTGAGCTCACACCTGTCTTCTAAGCCTAAGACCCTGTATACCTTATTTTGCCTCTCCATGTGGATACTTCAGTATCAATATGTCAAACACCAAACTCAGTCCTCCCTGACAGAGCAGGAGCACCATCATCTTGGACAAACACTGCCACTTTAAGTTCCAGCTCTTTTTCTAGCCTCATGCATTTCAAGGAAATCACTTTTCTTCTAACAACAAGTGCCCAGAAAGAGCAGACAGTAAAATACAGATAAGACAGCTGGGGCACAGAGGGAGGTGGTGGGGAAGTCTCTTGGGTAACTGCCAAACTTCACCCTCATACAATGGGCCCCAGTAAAACAGTGGGCCTTAATAAGCACATTCCTTTCCATTTAAGTGCACTAAGGGAAGCTAAAAGCAGACTTGGGAGGAGGGTGGGTATGCCTGCAGCTGCAGGAAGATGTATGGGAACAGACACAAAGCTCTCCCTCCCAGATAAGTGCAACAAAGAAACACAGAAGGAGTACAAGCCTCTGATAAACTCTTCCACCCTGAATCCTTAAAAACTCTTAGTCTCTAAGAAAGTAGGCTCTAACCTAACTCAGCCAGAAGCCCCTCTCATGTTTGTTTTCTCTAAAATAAACCCGTCCTTAACTGTCAAGCCACCTTTCATGTATCTTTCCTCTTTCTTTAATTCTTACACTCCCTCCAAAGTTATTGGTTCCTGCCAATGTTTCTAATCTCATTGAATAGTACCATCATGCATCCAGTCACCTAATTTACAAATCTCAGGTTCATCCATGATATCTCATGCTTTTCATTCTCCAATATCTAATCCATCTTTGAGATCCATCTATTTTTTGTTCAAAATACCTCTTTATCCATACTTCCCATATCTTCTGCCAGCATATTCCAAGCTACCATCTCTATCTTAAAATAATGCACTTTTCTTTTAATTGATGTCCCTTCAATTTTTGTGCCTCCCATTCATATTCATTTTTGACATCACACAGAGAGTGATATCTTCAAAATGCAAATCTCATTTTGTTCTATTTGATAGAATAAATTCCTCCTTGTTATTGAAATCACAAAAAAGTCACCCCCACTCCCCTTGCACACACAATTTTATCTATCCCTGAAGCTTTCAAAATTGTTAAAGGCTTTCCATTGTTTTTAAGCTATGGACCAACATCCTTAATATCCTCAAAGTTCTTGGTTCCAAGAAGCTGCATTGTCGGGCTCTTGATGATCATTGTAGCTCTCCTTATACTATCCTCCTGGGTTTCTCTCTGCCCTAGTCATGCCGTAGGGCTATAATATTCTTTAGAAT
Source organism: Homo sapiens (assembly GCF_000001405.40). Taxonomy (NCBI): domain Eukaryota; kingdom Metazoa; phylum Chordata; class Mammalia; order Primates; family Hominidae; genus Homo; species Homo sapiens. The sequence continues at coordinate 207,427,367 of NC_000001.11, read as the reverse complement.
GAAGAGGTGAACAAGGTCCCTACAGATAGATTAAGACAGACAGAGAATTGATACAACCCAAAGTAGAACAGAAAAGATGTGTTAATAACCACGCCAGGTGAAAAGAAACTGTTTCTGGTGTATTTTATTAACAGGTCAAGAGAAAAATACTTTGAATCAACAGCTGCATTGCAGGTAGAAGGGTACATGCTTATTGGCTCTAATTGGATTCAGGCTTTCATTAAGTTAATGTTAAGCCAATATCATTTTCTGCATTGGCCAAGCAGGTGAGATGAATGAATATGTTGCAGAAATCATAAGTGATGGTTACATTAATTTGTGCAATTTTTCCAGGAAAGTAGTATTGTTTTTGGTTT